>NC_000006.12:98404123-98555638 GCF_000001405.40 Homo sapiens
CTCGTATTATGGAGAGAAATCTGTTTCACTCACTCTACTTATTCGAATGTTAATATCATCCAGAAACACCCCCATAGACACTCCCAGGTGATGCTTAACCAAATATCTGGGCACCCCATTGTCCACTTAAACTGAGGCATGCAATTAACCATTGCAAGTCCACTCCTTATCAACTTGGCACCTATATTCATTTCCTTAAACTATACCTGATCTCCAAATGAAGATGATAATAAGGTCATAATTATGTCTAACGTGATATAATTATACTGCATATAATCAGAAATACATTAACCCTTTCCACAGAGGAATCAAAGTCCTTAAATGATATTGTCTTCTCAATATTTCATAACTTAAATACTATGATATAAAATTAACCATACTTAAATATGATATAAATCCAAATATTTTTTGTTATTTAATAATAAAATAAAGGAAGAATGAAAACAAAAATATACACACAGATACATATACAAAAACATGTTTATAACAAAATAATGAATAAATATTCATGACAATTACAGTCTTCATTTCTGTAACTGGACACGTAGCCATAGCTAGTAAATATAACTTCCTTCTTTCACTACTCATTCTGTATTCCTATTGCCTTCAGCAAGCACCTCAGTTGGTCATAGTTCTTTACCTGGTGGAAAGACACAAGCTTTCATTCCTAAAGGATTTGAGCTATTAGTTTTACTACCAGGATTTGATTGTTGCAGTTTTCCATTGACCTTAATCATATGGCATCGTAATAGTAAGAGAAGACTTTAGGGATGACCTTCAGTGTTCCAGACATACTCTTCCTTACCTTCATTGTGAAGTAGCAGTCCAATTTCCACTTGGTAGTCAGGTGGTCACCAAGCATGGTAACTTCTTTCTTTGCCTATTGATTCAGAGGCATGAGGAGTCCAAAGTGGTCAGGCTGCAATCTTAACTTCCAGTTCAATGGAAAACATTCTTATGTTTTTTGGTAGAAGCATTACTCCCTTCTAACCTAAGAATTCTAGGCCAGCAGAACATAAATTGACAGGAATGGGAAGAAAAATTTTGCTAATGCATCACTATGGTTAATAGTGAGTGATGCCACTCCCATTTCCACTCCTTGATTCTTGGACCCATGCATCCTAGCTATCAGAGAAATAGCACAATATATTGAACTCAGAGAATATACAGCTTTTCATAGAACCTGCCCTAATCCTGTAAGTTATTGACATATATTTGGAAGTATAAAAGAGTCTTCAAAAGGCCATTCTACTTTTCTATAAAGCCAGCTGTTTCAAGATGGTGGAGAATATGGTAAAAGCAGTAAATCTCATAAATGTGGGTCCATCACCACATTTCTTTGGCTGTGAAGTGAGTATCTTTGTCACAAGCAATGCTGTGTGAAATATCATGACGATAGATATGGTATTCTGGTAGTCTGTAAGTCCATAGATGGCAAAAACATTGCATACAGGGGAGGAAAATCCATATTCAAAGTAAATGTCTATTAGGGATGAAAGGCTTTAAGATTAAAAAATAAAAATAAAAAGAAACAGAGTAAATGTCTATTCTAGAAAGAACAGAACACAGTCCCTTCCATGATGAAAGCAGTATAATGTAATCAATCTCCTACTAGGTAGCTGGCTGATCACCCCAAGGAATGGTGCTATATCAGGAGTTCAGTGTTAGTCTCTGCTGCTGGCAGATTGGGCAATCAGCAGTGGCCATAGCCAGGTCTGCCTTTGTGAATGGAATTCCATGTTGCTAAGCCTATGCATAACCTCCATCTCTGCCAACGTGGCCACTTTGTTCATAAGTTCATTATGTGATGACGGGGTGGCTGGAGAAAGAGGCTGACTGAATTTTCACAGGACAAGTCATTCTGTCCACTTGATTAGTAAAATCCTCCTCTGCTGAGTTCACCATCTGGTGAACATTCACAGGGGACACAAATATCTTCACACTTTTTGCCCATTCTGAAAGGTCTGCATACCTCTAATCTAAATTTTTTCTTGTCACCAATTTTTCAATTATATTCCTTCCATGACCCTGACCATACTATCAAACCATTGATCACAGACCATGAATCAGTACATACATCTGGCCATTTTTCCTTCTGAACTAAGAGAACAACCATGTTCTGCTTGACAGAAGGATTTCCCTTTACCATTCTCATTTAGGATGCCCAAGAACAAGGCTACAGTGCTACAGCTACCTACGTTTAGGTTGTGCCTGCATATAATTCACACCCCAGGCCCTAGATGTCTTCTTTTGCCAGCTGATCATCAGGATCTTCCCATGTGGTGATAGGTATGGGCTGAGAAAGAGAAGGCCGAGTAGCAGAAGTGAGGACCTTAGGCTTTGGGACCACTTCTTCATGTAACTTACCTGTTTCCTTACGGTCTATTTGGGTCCCCTCACATATATATCACTTCCACTTTATTATGGATTGCTGATGGGCATGCCCAACTTTAGGCCTTGGTGGGTCAGATAACACCTAATTCATAATGGACAGCTCAGATTTCATGGTAACCTGGCGGTCCATGCTTAAGTGTTCAGTCTCTACTAAGGCCCAGTAGCACGCCAAGAGCTGTTTCTCGAAAGAGAGTGTTTACTTGAAGAAGATGGCAGAGCTTTGCTCCAAAATCCTCAGGGCCTTCTTCATGATTCACCAGTGGGGGCCTGCCAAGGGTTTCAAAAAACATCTTTATCTGCCACTGAAACTTCAAGCACCAATGGATGCAATGGATCATATGGCTCAAGTGTCAGAGCAGCTTGCACGGCAGCTTGGAACTGTTGCACAGCCATCTCTTGTCTCCATTCAAAACTAGCAACTTTTGGGGTCATTTGATAAATGAGCCCACTAAATGTTGTGCCCCATTTTTTGGTTTTAAGGAGAGGCCAGTTGCAACAACTTATTCTTTACCTTGGAAGGGATATCTCAACACGCCCCACATCACAGGACCCTAAGAAATTTCCCGGAGGTACAAGGCCTCTGAATTTTTGAAATTTATTGCACATCCTCTGCTACACAAATGTCTTACAATTAAGCCTAAATTAGTTGCTGCTTCTTGCTCATTAAGTCCAATTAGCATAATGTCATCAATGTAGTGGACCAGTGTGATGTCTTGTAGTAAGGCAAAGATCCCTGCAAACTAAATGAAGACACAGGGTTGGAAAAGTGATATCCCCCTGAGGTAGGACAGTGAAGGTGCATTGCTGGCCTTGGCAGCTAAAAGCAAACTGCTTCTAGTGATCTTTACTAACAGATATCAATAAGAAAGCATTTGCCAGATCAATAGCTGCACACCAGGTATCAGGGGATGTATTAATATTAATTTGCTCTAGCAATGAAATCACATCTGGCACAGCAGCTACAATTGGAGTCACCACACAATTAAGCTTATGATCATCTGCTGTCATTCTCCAAGGTTCCTCTGTCTTTTGCACAAGCCAAGCAGGTGAATTGAATGGGGATGTGGTAGGAATCACTCCCCGGCATCATTCAAGTCCTTGATGGTGGCATTATTCTCTGCAATCCCTCCAGGAATGCAGTATTGCTTGCAGTTTACTATTTTGCTAGGAAGTCACCATTTTAGTGGCTCTCACTTGGTCTTCATCATTGTAGGCCCTCATATCACAGGTTAGAGAATCAGTGTGAGTATTTTGCCAGATGCTGAAAGTATCTATTCCAATTTTGCATCCCAAAACTGGGGAAATAACCATAGGATGGGGTCAAGGACACGCTGGGCCCACTGAGAGACAAACCTGAGCTAAAACTTCTTTGATTCCCTGCCGACCATAACCCTCTACCCTAAATAGCGAGCCACAGTGACATTTTGGGTCACCTGGAATCAATGTCATTTCATAGTTGGTGTCCAGTAGTACCTGAAAGGTCTGATCATTTCCTTTTCCCCAGTACACAGTTACCCTGCTAAAAGGCCATAGGTCCCTTTGGGGAAGGCTTGGACAAAAATTACCAGTACAAATTTTCAGTACTTTACCAAGATCCTTTCTCTAGGGGTCTTGGCCTTTCCCTTCATTCTAGCAGTTCTGGGTTTGAAAACTGGCTCAATCCTGATAATTGTTTGAGGGGCTGTGACTCTATTATTACAATTCAGGTTAGACTTTTGTTCATGTGACCTAGAACTTTTCTGCTTATATAAATCAAGAAGGAATGTAGTAGGCTTCTTATCTATTTCACTCTGGGAACACCATGGTCAACTAGCCAGCACTATAAGTTTGCATGAATCAGGCTATTCTGATTGCCGCTTTGACTCTGCTACCCATTACAGTAACCACACACCCACCTTGCCGTTGGTGGTTGAGTGCAGCCACATGACTGCAGCCACCTGGGATCCAATTACTCCCACTGCCTTTAGTTTTCCCAGTGGTCTGCAGGCACTACTGTAAGGGCTGTCCTACAGAGAACAGCAATCACAGAGCTCTTCAAGGATGCCATAACTCCCCTCACAAATTTATTTCTCATGGTAAGGGTAATAAATAAGTATGTTTTCTGTATCCTTCTAGTGTGGCTGAATAGGCATTAAATGACAAATCCACTCTAATACTCCAATCTCCCTTTGAATCCCTTCCTCTACGTTAAACCAAGACAGGTCCTGTATTTCTCATTTGCTCACTGTGGGCCACCTTTCAGTCCATGTTTCAACCAACTAAGCAAACAAACTCTTAGAACCCTTTCTACCTCCTGAATATCCACAGGACAAGTCATTCTGTCCACTTGATTAGTAAAATCCTCTGCTGAGTTCACCATCTGGTGGGCATTCACATGGAACACAAATATCTTCACACTTTTTGCCCATTCTGAAAGGTCTGCATACCTCTAATCTAACTTCTGAGCTATGATATTAAATAGAGAATCTCTGCTATGTGAGCCCATATCAATGAATTCAGACTGATCCAACTTAATGTTCTTAACACCCATTATCACACACCATTAATATCTATTCCCACACATGTTTCCTGGATTTCTGCTTACCCATATTAGAAAACTTAAGCTGTTCTTTTGGAAAGTAGTGCACCATGGGTCACAATGAGTACCTCCCTTTAGGGGCTGGCTGGAACTTTAGTCTACTACTAGGTCTAGAAGCAAAGCGGGGTGGAAGGGACAGGTCCTGAGAAGAGTGAACATTGTCTTGCATGGAAACTGCCTCAGAGAAGGTCATTACAGTTTCCTTAGGCAATGCAGGGTTAATCCCCTCAGACAAGGGTGGAGAGGCTGAGACCACCAAGGTGGGAAAGCAGCTGTGATTGGAGAGGCCACTTCTGCTAGAGGTGAGTAGGCCTCTTCCACTGGCAAAGAAGACTTGTCAGAATTTAGGGGTTCAATGCCCTTAGCTTCATTAGGGTCTTCCCACACATCCACATTACAACTTACAGGATCCCATTTTCTCCCAATCAAAGTCCTTACTTTAACAGTAGATAAATTGAGGGGCTGGGAGTTGAACTTACATTGTAATTCAACCAATGGTATGATGAGTTCTGTATTTGATTTTCAGGAATCCCAGTTCCGTGGCTATAAAAGAAAAGACGCACATAAAGCATCCAGGTCATTTACGCAGTGTTTGAACTGAGACTTTGAATTTCTTATCTCATTCTTTCATTTCACCCCTTTGTCCAGTGACATTAGGAGAATAAGCCAGCTTCACTATATTCGTGAGTGTCCTGGTTCATCCATGTAACTATAACAAAATACTAAACTGGTTGGCTTATAAAAAACAGAAATTTATTCTTCATAGTTCTGGAGGCTGGGAAGTCTAAGACCAAAGTGCTGGCAGATTAGGTGTATGGTGAGGGCCTGCCTCCTTGTTCACAGATGGCCATCTTCCCATTGTGTCTTCATATGGTGGAAGCGGCAAGGGTGCTCTCTGGGGCCCCTTTTAAAGGGCATTCGTTCATTCATAACAGTTGTATCCTCATGACCTTTTCACTTATCTAAGGCCCCACCTTTAAAGACCATTAGAGTGGGGATTAGGTTTCAACATATGAGTTGGGAGATGTGTGGGGGGATGTACACATTCCCTCAACAGCAGTTAAATATTCAAAGATGTTCAAAAATATCATACGCACAGTCACCCAACCCCTTGCTGTTTATAAGCTGTTGATTAGAAATATATGATGCAGATATTTTGTGTATGCATATCTTTATTGCCAGGCCATGCAATGGACTATCAGTGTTCTCTTTACTACTGGCAAGAGTCATTAGTGTTGTTAAATCTAATCAGATTAGGCACAGAATTCCAAAAATCCCAGAATCAATTCAGAAAACACATCCTTAAAATTCTGTTCCTCTGGAACCACTTTCAGTACAAAATTCTATATTAGTCTGGGTTCCCTGGAGAAACAAAACCAATAGGATTTAAATATATATATATATATATATATCATTGGCTCACGTGATTATGAGTGCCGAGAAGTCTAAGGTGTATATTTGGCAAGGTGGAAACCCAGGAGAGCCAATAGTAGAGTTTAGTTTGAGTCAGAAGGCCTGTGAACCAGGAGAACAAACAGAGTAAGTTCCAGTCTGAGTCCTCTGAGACCCTGAGAACCAGAAGACCCATTGATATAAGCCACGGTCAGAGTTTAAAGACAGCAGACTGATGTCTAGCTGGAAAACCGTCAGGCAGAGAAAAATAATTATTTCTTACTCATCTTTTTATTCCATTCAGACCTTCAATAGATTGGATGAAGCTCCTGCACATTAGGAAGATTCATCTGTTTTTACTCAAGCTACTGATTCAAATGTTAATCTCATCCAGAAACATCCTCACAGATACATCCAGAATAACATTTAACCAAATCTCTAGGCACCCCATGGCCCACTCAAATTGAAACGTGAAAATAACAAGCACAACACTCTTTTACAGTAATGTTTCTTAGATTAGCATAATAACTGAAGAAAATACACTAAAAGTCACCTGACAAATTTAAAAACAATTTGCTCCTATACCTTCTAATGCCATTGATCTTTTAACAGAATGCCATTGACTTGCTATAAAGAAACTAAATAGAGTGAAATGTAATTTGGTTCCTTTCAAGGTTTATTATATCTGTTGTAACTTTCCCTTTTCTATAAGCCAATTGGCTTAAAGATTCATGGGAACTCTAGCTTCTCTAGTTCTTTTAATTGTGATGTTAGGGTGTCAGTTTTAGACCTTCCCTGCTTTCTCCTGTGGGCATTTAGTGCTATAAATTCCCCTCTAAACACCAGAGATTCTGGTACATTGTATCTTTGTTCTCATTGGTTTCAAAGAACTTATTTATTTCTACCTTAATTTTGTTATTTATCCAGTAGTCATTCAGGAGCAGATTGTTCAGTTTCCATGTAGTTTTGAGTTCTAATTTGATTGCACTGTGGTCTGAGAGACTGTTACGATTTCCATTCTTTTGCATTTACTGAGGAGTGTTTTACTTCCAATTATCTGGTCAATTTTAGAATAAGTGTGATGAGGTGCTGAGAAGAACGTATATTCTGTTGATTTGGAGTGGAGAGTTCTGTAGATATCTATTAGGTCTGCTTGGTCCAGAGTTGAATTCAAGTCCTGAATTCCTTGTTGATTTTCTGTCTCATTGAGCTGTCTAATATTGACAGTGGGGTGTTAAAGTCTCCCACTATTATTGTGTGGGAGTCTAAGTCTCTTTATAGGTCTCTAAGTACTTGCTTTATGAACCTGGGTGCTCCTGTATTGGGTGCATGTATATTTAGAATAGTTAGCTCTTCTTGTTGCATTGATCCCTTTACCATTATGTAGTGCCCTTCTTTGTCTTTTCTGATCTTTGTTGGTTTGAAGTCTGTTTTATCAGAGACTAGGATTGCAATCCCTGCTTTGTTTTTTGGTAAACAAATTCAAAAGCTAGCAGAAGACAAGAAATAACTAAGATCAGAGCAGGACTGAAGGAGATAGAGATATGAATAATCCTTCAAAAAAATCAATGAATGAAGGAGCTGGTTTTTTGAAAAGATTAACAAAATAGGTAGACCACTAGGCAGACTAACAAAGAAGAAAAGAGAGAAGAATCAAATAGAAACTATAAAAAATGATGAAGGGGATATCACCACTGATCCCACAGAAATACAAACTACCATCAGAGAATATTATAAACACCTCTATGCAAATAAACTAGAAAATCTAGAAGAAATGGGTAAATTCCTGGACATGAACACCCTTTCAAGACTAAACCAGGAAGAAGTTAAATCCCTGAATAGACCAATAACAAGTTCTGAAATTGAGGCAGTAATTAATAGCCTACCAAAAAAGCCCAGGACCAGATGGATTCACAGCCGAATTCTACCAGAGGTACAGGAAGGAGCTGGTACCACTCCTTCTGAAACTATTCTAAACAAGAGAAAAAGAGGGACTCCTTCCTAACTCATTTTATGAGGCCAGCATCATCCTGACACCAAAACCTGGCAGAGATACAACAAAAAAAGAAAATTTCAGGCCAATATCTCTGATGAACATCAATGCGAAAATCCTCAATAAAGTACTGCAAACCGAATCCAGCAGCACAACAAAAAGCTTATCCACCACAATCAAGTAGGCTTCATCCCTGGGATGCAAGACTGCTTCAACATACGCAAATCAATAAATGTAATCCATCACATAAACAGAGCCGATGACAAAAACCACATGATTATCTCAATAGATGAAGAAAAGGCTTTCAATAAAATTAAACATCCCTTCATGCTAAAAACTCTCAATAAACTAGGTATAGATGCAACATATCTGAAAATATTAAGAGCTATTTATGACAAACCCACAGCCAATATCATACTGAATGGGCAAAAGCTGGAAGCATTCCCTTTGAAAACTGGCATGAGACAAGGATGCCCTCTCTCACCACTCCTATTCAACATAGTACTGGAAATTCTCACCAGGGCAATCAGGCAAGAGAAAGAAATAAAGCATATTCAAATAGGAAGAGAGAAAGTCAAATTGTCTCTGTTTGCAGATGACATGATTGTGTATTTAGAAAACCCCATTGTCTCAGCCCAAAATCTCCTTAAGCTGATAAGAAACTTCAGCGAAGTCTCAGCATACAAAATCAACGTGCAAAAATCACAAGCATTCCTATACACCAAGAACAGACAAGCAGAGAGCCAAATCATGATTGAGCTCCCATTCACAATTGCTACAAAGAGAATAAAATACCTAGAAATACAACTTACAAGGGATGTGAAGAACTTCTTCAAAAAGAAATTCAAACCTCTGCTCAGGAAAATAAGAGAGGACACAAACAAATGGAAAAAATTCCATGCTCATGGATAGAAGAATCAATATCGTGAAAATGGCCATACTGCCCAAAGTAATTTATAGATTCAATGCTATCCCCACTGACTTTCTTCACAGAATTAGAAAAAACTACTTTAAATTTCATATGGAACCAAAAAAGAGCCCATAGCCAAAACAATCCTAAGCAAAAAGAACAAAGCTGGAGACATCACACTACCTGACTTTAAACTATACTTAAAGGCTGCAGTAACCAAAACAGCATGGTACCAGTACCAAAACAGATATATAGACCAATGAAACAGAACAGAGGCCTCAGAAATAATGTCACACATCTGCAACCATCTGATGTTTGACAAACCTGACAGAAACAAGCAAAAGGGAAAGGATTCCCTATTTAATAAATGGTGTTGGGAAAACTGGCTAGCCATATGAACAAAAGTGAAATTGGACCTCCTCCTTACACCTTATACAAAAATTAACACAAATTGAATTAAAGACTTAAACCTAAGATCTAAAACCATAAAAACCCTAGAAGAATACCTAGGCAATACCATTCAGGAAATAGGCATGGGCAAGGACTTCATGACTAAAACACCAAAAGCAGTGGCAACAAAAGCCAAAATTGACAAATGGGATCTAATTAAATTGAAGAGCTTCTGCACAGCAAAAGAAACTATTATCAGAGTGAACAGGCAACCTACAGAATGGGACAAAATTTTGCAATCTAGCCATCTGACAAAGGGCTAATATCCGGAATCTACAAAGAACTTAAACAAATTACAAGAAAAAAACAAACAACTTCATCAAAAAGTGGGCAAAGGATATGAACAGACACTTCTCAAAAGAATACATTTATGTGGCCAACAAACATGAAAAAAATCTCATCACCACTGGTCATTAGAGAAATGCAAATCCAAACCACAGTGAGATACCATCTCACACCAGTTAGAAAGGCAATCATCAAAAGGTCAGGAAACAATAAATGCTGGGGAGGATGTGGAGAAATAGGAATGCTGTTACACTGTTGTTGGGAGTGTAAACTAGTTCAACCATTGTGGAAGACAGTGTGGTGATTCCTCAAGGATCTAGAACCAGAAATACCATTTGACCCTAATCCCATTACTGGGTATATACCCAAAGGATTATAAGTCATTCTACTACAAAGACACATGCACACTTTTGTTTATCGCAGCACTGTTCACAAGAGCAAAGACTTGGAACCAACCCAGATGCCCATCAATGATAGACTGGATAAAGAGAATGTGGCACATATACACCATAGAATACTATGCAGCTATAAAAAAGGATGAGTTCATGTCCTTTACAGGGACATGGATGAAGCTGGAAACCATCATCCTAAGCAAACTAACACAGGAACAGAAAACCAAACACTGCATGTTCCCACTCATATGTGGGAGTTGAACAATGAGAACACATGGACACAGGGAGGGGAACATCACACACCAGGGCCTGTCAAGGGGTGGGGGACTTAGTGGTGGGATAGCATTAGGAGAAATACCTATTGTACATGACGGGTTGATGCGTGCAGCAAACCACCATGGCATGTATATACCTATGTAACAAACGTGCATGTTCTGAATATGTATCCCAGAACTTAAATCATAATAATAAAAAAATTCATGGGAACTGTATTGCTTTCTCATACTTGGACCCATTCAGTTTTAACGTGAAAAAATTTAACACAGTACCCAACCTACATAGCTGCTGACATCTACAAACCTCTCATACAATTCTTTCATGATTCAGAAAGAAAGAATTAACTAGAAAAAACTCTCCTTATCTAAATTTAAACTGTCCATATTTAAAATTTTTAATTAATGATGTGGCATCAAAATATTCTAAACAGCTTCTTAGTAAAATATACAACTGAAGAAACTTCACACTGTAATCTCATTAATCCTATTACATAGATAGGGAAATTTAGACTTGTTGATGTTAAATGTCTCCCAGAAGTCATAGGAATAGATAGTGGCAAAGCCAGGAAGGTGCAGGATATGTAAACAAATCAAAATTAAATAAGCACACTATTAATTTTTTAAAAAATATATAAATAAAAGGTATCAGTTAAATATTTGAGCTACAGATGTTAAAACATAGTCTTATCTCTTACCTTGGTTAGGTCACTCCACAAAAAGGTGACCTAACAAATTAAAGAATAAGAATATAAAACAAAATTTCATGTGACATTTGAGCCATGGAAACACCTAAAGCCAGAGAGAAATTGGTCATGATTTAATTTGAAGATAGGGAACTACAGGCACTGAAATTGAGAAATCAAAAATAGCTACCTTCAAGGAAGTAAATAAACTTTGTAATTCAATAGTATTTCCTTTACTACTGAATATAAAACAAAATGTAACCTACTTTATGTTACTATAATAGGATTGTCTAATGATAATTTTACTTCATTTTCATATCCTTTTTTATCTCAAAACTTCCTAAAATACCTTGCAACTTTTAATTTATTAATTCATTCAAAAGTACATTCAGTCAGGTGAGGACCGTTAAGAATGCCCATTCACATTTTTGAGTGAATCATCCCACTGAATTGAGACCCACTAATCAGCTCTCCACCTTTCACAAATAATATCTACATTTTTTAGAATATCTTGAACTCTATAGAATGATCCTTTATAAAAATAGATGAAAGAGATCAGAGTGTTAACTTGTGTATTTCACGTGGAAATCCATGCACAACTTGATCTGAAGTCATTTTTAAAAATGGTATTATGACTGCAGTCATTAGCTCTGTTTCTGGCTTTATTCCTTTGCCTTCAAGTTGAACAATGCCACTGTGTCATACAGACAGCTCATTTCCAACTCGCCTAGTTGTGCCAGTTAGAGCCAGCAGTTCAGCAACTCCAGCAATATATGTTTGTACTAGAATCCCTGACAATGTACTCCACCTTCTTTCTTCTTCTAACATCTGGTATACAGGACTCATCTTTCTGAACAACAGTGTTAATCTAATACAGATGGCTCTATCATCTCATTTCTCATGGCATTCATTTTAATTTTGGTTGCTTAGGTTCATATAAACCATGAAGACAGTTTTAAAGAGCATGTATATAATATCAATGGTACATCTATCTCAGTTACACTGGACTTAAAAATGCAAATTTGTTGAGGAGCCAAGATGGCCGAATAGGAACAGCTCCGGTCTACAGCTCCCAGCGTGAGCGATGCAGAAGACCGGTGATTTCTGCATTTCCATCTGAGGTACCGGGTTCATCTCACTAGGGAGTGCCAGACAGTGGGCGCAGGCCAGTGGGTGCGAGCACCGTGCACGAGCCGAAGCAGGGCGAGGCATTGCCTCACCTGGGAAGCGCAAGGGGTCAGGGAGTTCCCTTTCTGAGTCAAAGAAAGGGGTGACGGACGCACCTGGAAAATCGGGTCACTCCCACCCGAATATTGCGCTTCTCAGACCGGCTTAAAAAACGGCGCACCACGAGACTATATCCCACACCTGGCTCGGAGGTTCCTATGCCCACGGAATCTCACTGATTGCTAGCACAGCAGTCTGAGATCAAACTGCAAGGCGGCAGCGAGGCTGGGGGAGGGGCGCCCGCCATTGCCCAGGCTTGCTTAGGTAAACAAAGCAGCCGGAAACCTCAGACTGGGTGGAGCCCACCACAGCTCAAGGAGGCCTGCCTGCCTCTGTAGGCTCCACCTCTGGGGGCAGGGCACAGACAAACAAAAAGACAGCAGTAACCTCTGCAGACTTAAGTGTCCCTGTCTGACAGCTTTGAAGAGAGCAGTGGTTCTCCCAGCACGCAGCTGGAGATCTGAGAACGGGCAGACTGCCTCCTCAAGTGGGTCCCTGACCCCTGACCCCCGAGCAGCCTAACTGGGAGGCACCCCCCAGCAGGGGCACACTGACACCTCACACGGCAGGGTATTCCAACAGACCTGCAGCTGAGGGTCCTGTCTGTTAGAAGGAAAACTAACAAACAGAAAGGACATCCACACCGAAAACCCATCTGTACATCACCATCATCAAAGACCAAAAGTAGATAAAACCACAAAGATGGGGAAAAAACAGAACAGAAAAACTGGAAACTCTAAAACGCAGAGCACCTCTCCTCCTCCAAAGGAACGTAGTTCCTCACCAGCAACGGAACAAAGCTGGATGGAGAATGATTTTGACGAGCTGAGAGAGGAAGGCTTCAGACGATCAAATTACTCTGAGCTACGGGAGGACATTCAAACCAAAGGCAAAGAAGTTGAAAACTTTGAAAAAAATTTAGAAGAATGTATAACTAGAATAACCAATACAGAGAAGTGCTTAAAGGAGCTGATGGAGCTGAAAACCAAGGCTGGAGAACTACGTGAAGAATGCAGAAGCCTCAGGAGCCAATGCGATCAACTGGAAGAAAGGGTATCAGCAATGGAAGATGAAATGAATGAAATGAAGCGAGAAGGGAAGTTTAGAGAAAAAAGAATAAAAAGAAATGAGCAAAGCCTCCAAGAAATATGGGACTATGTGAAAAGACCAAATATACGTCTGATTGGTGTACCTGAAAGTGATGTGGAGAATGGAACCAAGTTGGAAAACACTCTGCAGGATATTATCCAGGAGAACTTCCCCAATCTAGCAAGGCAGGCCAATGTTCAGATTCAGGAAATACAGAGAATGCCACAAAGATACTCCTCGAGAAGAGCAACTCAAAGACACATATTGTCAGATTCACCAAAGTTGAAATGAAGGAAAAAATGTTAAGGGCAGCCAGAGAGAAAGGTCGGGTTACCCTCAAAGGAAAGCCCATCAGACTAACAGCGGATCTCTCGGCAGAAACCCTACAAGCCAGAAGAGAGTGGGGGCCAATATTCAACATTCTTAAAGAAAAGAATTTTCAATCCAGAATTTCATATCCAGCCAAACTAAGCTTCATAAGTGAAGGAGAAATAAAATACTTTACAGACAAGCAAATGCTGAGAGATTTTGTCACCACCAGGCCTGCCCTAAAAGAGCTCCTGAAGGAAGCGCTAAACATGGAAAGGAACAACCGGTACCAGCCACTGCAAAATCATGCCAAAATGTAAGGACCATCGAGACTAGGAAGAAACTGCATCAACTAACGAGCGAAATCACCAGCTAACATCATAATGACAGGATCAAATTCACACATAACAATATTAACTTTAAATGTAAATGGACTAAATTCTCCAATTAAAAGACACAGACTGGCAAGTTGGATAAAGAGTCCAGACCCATCAGTGTGCTGTATTCAGGAAACCCACCTCACGTGCAGAGACACAAATAGGCTCAAAATAAAAGGATGGAGGAAGATCTACCAAGCAAATGGAAAACAAAAAAAGGCAGGGGTTGCAATCCTAGTCTCTGATAAAACAGACTTTAAACCAACAAAGATCAAAAGAGACAAAGAAGGCCATTACATAATGGTAAAGGGATCAATTCAACAAGAGGAGCTAACTATCCTAAATATATATGCACCCTATACAGGAGGACCCAGATTCATAAAGCAAGTCCTGAGTGACCTACAAAGAGACTTAGACTCCCACACATTAATAATGGGAGACTTTAACACCCCACTGTCAACATTAGACAGATCAACGAGACAGAAAGTCAACAAGGATACCCAGGAATTGAACTCAGCTCTGCACCAAGTGGACCTAATAGACATCTACAGAACTCTCCACCCCAAATCAACAGAATATACATTTTTTTCAGCACCACACCACACCTATTCCAAAATTGACCACATAATTGGAAGTAAAGCTCTCCTCAGCAAATGTAAAAGAACAGAAATTATAACAAACTATCTCTCAGACCACAGTGCAACCAAACTAGAACTCAGGATTAAGAATCTCACTCAAAGCTGCTCAACTACATGGAAACTGAACAACCTGCTCCTGAATGACTACTGGGTACATAACGAAATGAAGGCAGAAATAAAGATGTTCTTTGAAACCAATGAGAACAAAGACACAACATACCAGAATCTCTGGGATGCATTCAAAGCAGTGTGTAGAGGGAAATTTATAGCACTAAATGCCCACAAGAGAAAGCAGGAAAGATCCAAAATTGACACCCTAACATCACAATTAAAAGAACTAGAAAAGCAAGAGCAAACACATTCAAAAGCTAGCAGAAGGCAAAAAATAACTAAAATCAGAGCAGAACTGAAGGAAATAAAGACACAAAAAACCCTTCAAAAAATCAATGAATCCAGGAGCTGGTTTTTTGAAAGGATCAACAAAATTGATAGACCGCTAGCAAGACTAATAAAGAAAAAAAGAGAGAAGAATCAAATAGACACAATAAAAAATGATAAAGGGGATATCACCACCGATCCCACAGAAATACAAACTACCATCAGAGAATACTACAAACACCTCTACGCAAATAAGCTAGAAAATCTAGAAGAAATGGATACATTCCTCGACACATACACTCTCCCAAGACTAAACCAAGAAGAAGTTGAATCTCTGAATAGACCAATAACAGGAGCTGAAATTGTGGCAATAATCAATGGTTTACCAACCAAAAAGAGTCCAGGACCAGATGGATTCACAGCTGAATTCTACCAGAGGTACAAGGAGGAACTGGTACCATTCCTTCTGAAACTATTCCAATCAATAGAAAAAGAGGGAATCCTCCCTAACTCATTTTATGAGGCCAGCATCATTCTGATACCAAAGCCCGGCAGAGACACAACCAAAAAAGAGAATTTTAGACCAATATCCTTGATGAACATTGATGCAAAAATCCTCAATAAAATACTGGCAAACCAAATCCAGCAGCACATCAAAAAGCTTATCCACCATGATCAAGTGGGCTTCATCCCTGGGATGCAAGGCTGGTTCAATATACGCAAATCAATAAATGTAATCCAGCATATAAACAGAGCCAAAGACAAAAACCACATGATTATCTCAATAGATGCAGAAAAAGCCTTTGACAAAATTCAACAACCCTTCATGCTAAAAACTCTCAATAAATTAGGTATTGATGGGACGTATTTCAAAATAATAAGAGCTATCTATGACAAACCCACAGCCAATATCATACTGAATGGGCAAAAACTGGAAGCATTCCCTTTGAAAACTGGCACAAGACAGGGATGCCCTCTCTCACCACTCCTATTCAACATAGTGTTGGAAGTTCTGGCCAGGGCAATGAGGCAGGAGAAGGAAATAAAGGGTATTCAATTAGGAAAAGAGGAAGTCAAATTGTCCCTGTTTGCAGACGACATGATTGTTTATCTAGAAAACCCCATCGTCTCAGCCCAAAATCTCCTTAAGCTGATAAGCAACTTCAGCAAAGTCTCAGGATACAAAATCAATGTACAAAAATCACAAGCATTCCTATACACCAACAACAGACAAACAGAGAGCCAAATCATGAGTGAACTCCCATTCACAATTGCTTCAAAGAGAATAAAATACCTAGGAATCCAACTTACAAGGGATGTGAAGGACCTCTTCAAGGAGAACTACAAACCACTGCTCAAGGAAATAAAAGAGGATACAAACAAATGGAAGAACATTCCATGCTCATGGGTAGGAAGAATCAATATCGTGAAAATGGCCATACTGCCCAAGGTAATTTACAGATTCAATGCCATCCCCATCAAGCTACCAATGACTTTCTTCACAGAATTGGAAAAAACTACTTTAAAGTTCATATGGAACCAAAAAAGAGCCCGCATCGCCAAGTCAATCCTAAGCCAAAAGAACAAAGCTGGAGGCATCACACTACCTGACTTCAAACTATACTACAAGGCTACAGTAACCAAAACAGCATGATACTGGTACCAAAACAGAGATATAGATCAATGGAACAGAACAGAGCCCTCAGAAATAATGCCACATACCTACAACTATCTGATCTTTGACAAACCTGAGAAACACAAGCAATGGGGAAAGGATTCCCTATTTAATAAATGGTGCTGGGAAAACTGGCTAGCCATAGGTAGAAAGCTGAAAGTGGATCCCTTCCTTACACCTTATACAAAAATCAATTCAAGATGGATTAAAGATTTAAACGTTAGACCTAAAACCATAAAAACCCTAGAAGAAAACCTAGGCATTACCATTCAGGACATAGGCATGGGCAAGGACTTCATGTCCAAAACACCAAAAGCAATGGCAACCAAAGCCAAAATTGACAAATGGGATCTAATTAAACTAAAGAGCTTCTGCACAGCAAAAGAAACTACCATCAGAGTGAACAGGCAACCTACAACATGGGAGAAAATTTTTGCAACCTACTCATCTGACAAAGGGCTAATATCCAGAATCTACAATGAACTCAAACAAATTTACAAGAAAAAAACAAACAACCCCATCAAAAAGTGGGCGAGGGACATGAACAGACACTTCTCAAAAGAAGACATTTATGCAGCCAAAAAACACATGAAAAAATGCTCATCATCACTGGCCATCAGAGAAATGCAAATCAAAACCACTGTGAGATATCATCTCACACCAGTTAGAATGGCAATCATTAAAAAGTCAGGAAACAACAGGTGCTGGAGAGGATGTGGAGAAATAGGAACACTTTTACACTGTTGGTGGGACTGTAAACTAGTTGAACCATTGTGGAAGACAGTGTGGCAATTCCTCAGGGATCTAGAACTAGAAATACCATTTGACCCAGCCATCCCATTACTGGGTATATACCCAAAGGACTATAAATCATGCTGCTATAAAGACACATGCACATGTATGTTTATTGCGGCATTATTCACAATAGCAAAGACTTGGAACCAACCCAAATGTCCAACAATGATAGACTGGGTTAAGAAAATATGGCACATATACACCATGGAATACTATGCAGCCATAAAAAATGATGAGTTCATGTCCTTTGTAGGGACATGGATGAAATTGGAAACCATCATTCTCAGTAAACTATCGCAAGAACAAAAAACCAAACACCGCATATTCTCACTCATAGGTGGGAATTGAACAATGAGATCACATGGACACAGGAAGGGGAATATCACACTCTGGGGACTGTGGTGGGGAGGGGGGAGGGGGGAGGGATAGCATTGGGAGATATACCTAATGCTAAATGACGAGTTAGTGGGTGCAGCACACCAGCATGGCACATGTATACATATGTAACTAACCTGCACAATGTGCACATGTACCCTAAAACTTAAAATATAATTAAAAATAATAATAATAATAATAATAGTAATAATAATAAAATAGCTCTGTGGACTCTGAAAAAAAGAAGAAAAGCAAATTTGTTAAGGGTCTGAGGCTAGCTGATGTGCTGATGTGCTGTTTGGTAGCTAGTTTTCTTGATAATAAACCTTTAGTCAGGAAATATACATTGTACACATATATACTGCAGAATGGAAACTATGTTCTTATTGGTGATTGACTTATAATGTCTGCACTTCAAAGATGAGCTGGCATCAGGCACATTTCCCTTAACATTTTTTATATGTGCTGCATCAAAAAGGATTATTGATAAAATCTAAATTCACTTACACTTGAATTTGGTACTTGAGAACTGCAGATCAGTGTATCCACATAGTAAATACTAACCAAACATAAGCTTACTTAAAAAAAAAATCAAGTATTCACTGGACTAGAGAACTCTATTATCTATATAGAATTTGGATTTCCCTCCCAACCACTGACCCAACAATTATAAATAAAACATTTTAAATGAGTCACTGCAAGCTCAACTTTATAGCTGAAGACAGGAAAGTATTACTTTCATTTCTTTAGATAAGTAACTCTACCTATACCCATTTTTTAAATGAATGCAATGACTGTTGTTAGAGCAATATCTCACACTTGGTTGGTCCTAAAGCACTTACAATTTGAGGCTATTGGATGCAGAATTGAAAACACCTTTATATAATGAAGCAAATCTCAGTGGGACTGCATCTCACCTCCCTCTGCACTCATTTTGGCTCAGCTGAGCTCTTCCAAACTCAGAACAGCATAAGAAATGGGCCCAGTGCTTTTGCTAAAGTAGAAATCCTCATCTTTCTTTATTACACTTTAAGTTCTGGGATACATGTGCAGAACGTGCAGGTTTGTTACATAGGTATACACGTGCCATGGTGGTTTGCTGCAATCATCAGCCCATCATCTTCATTAGGTATTTCTCCTAATGCTATCCCTCCCCTAGCCCCCCAACCCCTGACAGGCCACAGGGTGTGATGTTCTCCTCCCTGTGTCCATGTGCTCTCATTGTTCAACTCCCATGTATGATTGAGAACATGTGGTGTTTGCTTTTCTGTTTCTGTGTTAGTTTGCTTAGGATGATGGTTTCCAGCTTCTTCCATGTCCCTGTAAAGGACATGAACTCATCCTTTTCTATAGCTGCATAGTATTCCATGGTGTATATGTGCCACATTTTCTTTATCCAGCCTATCATTGATGGGCATTTGCGTTGGTTCCAAGTCTTTGCTCTTGTGAACAGTGCTGCAATAAACAAAAGTGTGCATGTGTCTTTATAGCAGAATGATTTATAATCCTTTGGGTATATACCCAGTAATGGGATTATTGGGTCAAATGGTATTTCTGGTTCTAGATCCTTGAGGAATCACCACACTGTCTTCCACAATGGTTGAACTAATTTACACTCCCACCAACAGTGTAACAGGATTCCTATTTCTCCACATCCTCTCCAGCATTTGTTGTTTCCTGACTTTTAATGATTACCATTCTAACTGGCATGAGATGATATCTCATTGTGGTTTTGATTTGCATTTCTCTAATGACCAGTGATGGTGAGCTTTTTTTCATGTGTATTGGCCACATAAATGTCTTCTTTTGAGAAGTGTCTGTTCATATCCCTTGCCCACTTTTTGATGGAGTTGTTTTTTTCCTGTAAATTTGTTTAAGTTGCTTGTAGATTCTGGATATTAGCCCTTTGTCAGAGGGATAGATTGCAAAACTTTTCTCCCATTCTCTGGGTTCACTCTGATGATAGTTTCTTTTGCTGTGCAGAGGCTCTTTAGTTTAATTAGATTCCATTTGTCAATTTTGGCTTTCGTTTTCATTGCTTTTGGTGTTTTAGTCATGAAGCCCATGCCTGTGTCCTGAATGGCATTGCCTAGGTATTCTTCTAGGATTTTTATGGTTTTAGATCTTAGGTTTAAGTCTTTTATCCATCTTGAGTTAAGTTTTGTATAAGGTGTAAGGAGGGGGTCCAGTTTCAGTTTTCTGCATATGGCTAGCCAGTTTTCCCAACACCATTTATTAAATAGGGAATCCTTTCCCCATTATTGTTTTTGTCAGGAGAAATCCAAATTTTTAAAGCTGCAGCTTTTCTTGAGAAACATACTATTAAATCAGTAACATAGGGCTAGTATTCTACTTGTAATTATGAAGTAATAGCATGTCCTGGGAGAGCTTGTTGCTTATAACAGATCAAAATCAAATAAAAAATAAAGAAAAAAAGACTTAATTGAAGATCTAGGGTCTGAAGGTATTATATTGTCTGGGATTCAGAAGACATCACATGGATTGATTATAAATACCAGGTTTCATTAAAAGAATGAGCCCCTGGAGAACATCTTTCCAAAAGGCAGGTGTTATAGACTGAATGTTTATGTCTCCTCAGAATTTGTATGTTGAAATGTAATCTCCAGTGTGATTTGGAGGTGGGGAAATTTAGCTGGTGATTAAGTCCTGAGGACAGAGCCCTAGTGAATGGGATTAGTACCCTTATAAATGGGACTCCAAAGAGTTCTTTCTACCATTTGAGGACACAGCAAGAAGAACACCATCTTTGAACCCGAAAACTGGCCCTCACCCTATAGTGAGTCTGCTGGCACTTTGATCCAGGAATTCCCAACCTCCATAACTGTGAGAAGTAAGTTTCTGTTGTTTATAAGACACCCAGTCTATGGTGTTCTGTTATAACAGCACAAGCAGACGAAGACATGAGGAATATATTAGTTCATTTTAGAGTCATTCTTTCAACAATGCTTTACTGAGTAACCATTCTATATGTGAAGAAATTTCAAACAGCCCTAGCTTAAATATACCTTCTACTTTCCCCTATCTTTGATAAAAGTTTTGAAACTCCACCTTCATGTACAATGAATAAAAGTTTAATATTTTTGTTTTGAACTGTTTGTTGGTAAGTATTGTTATATATTTTGAAATGGATTAGTAATTGGAGTAATTTTTTCTGTTTATTTCAAGTCAACATTTATGGTAAGCTAGACTTCTTGGATAAAATCTTCAAAAATTAATTTTAACTCTATATTAAAGGATTCATGCTAATTCTAATAGTCCTAAATGACTTGAGGATTTATGGACTTGATAGTTTCTTGATACCTTACAGGAATTATAGACAACTTAGGAATTATCCTAAAAGTACTAAATAAAATGATGGCACTCCCTTCCTACAGATCCACTTTAGAACATATTTAAGAGTGTGAGTTCTGGAGCCAGTCTTCCTGAGGTCAAATTCTGGCTCTACCACTGGTGAGCTGTGTGACTTTGGGCAAGTTATTTACCTCTTTCTGTTTCAGCTTCCTTGTCTATAAAATGAGGCTAATAACAGTGCCTGCCTCATTGAGTTGTTTTGATGGTAGTGAGTTAACACACATAAAGCACTTAGAATAATGGATGGTACATAAAATACCCAATAAATGTGAGTTTTTAGTCTTTTCAACCCCATCTTCCCAAATGTGTACCTGAATGGAAGAAAGGTAGATTTTAAGGTCAGAACCAATTGTGTGGTGCTAGTTCCATTCTGCTGAGCAGCCTTGGACTGACCTAGGTTAGAGAACTTAAGAGTACCCCATTTGAAATCTGCCAGGCCACTTTTGCTTTAGTTTTCTCTTTCAGTTTGCTATTTTCCTCGATTTAAATGTCCTCAGATGGTAATTCATCATTCTGCCCATTCTTCTACCAAATGTGCCTCATAGTAATCACTTAACTCCAATATGCTCTGGGCACTGGAATCCTTGAAAATTAACTCCTTTATGGATTCCTCTCTGAGTGCCTCATGGAACAAATTATACAGTAAAGAAATCAGTTGTTCACTGAATTTTAAATCCAGCAATTAATTTACTTAATCTCTAACTATTTAGTTAGGCTTTATTGTTCACATTCGATGTGCTTGATCTTAAACTCTTCAGAAATAAAACTGAGGGAGACTGCAGATCAGTCTGGTTAATTTAGAATATCCATAAGGCAAGATTCTATAAGAAAATACAATATATTATGTAAATTAAGATATAGCACAATTATTGTATATAGTTCAAATAAATAGAAAGACTAATAATATATCTGATGCCAAGATTAACCTCATCTCCCTATTCATATTTTTTGACATGGAGTTATAATTTGAGGTTCCAGAGAGTGAAAAAATGTGGTATTCAAAGTTGCTAAATATTTCAGTATCAAATGGTTGGAAGGAAACTTGAGAAGTTATTTCAGGCCACATCTAAAATGTCCCAAGCAAATATAAATGTACATGAATCTTAACCATTAAAGAAGCTCCATATCGCCACAGCCAGAATAAGAGAATGATAGCTCCATCAGACAAGGGAACTTCACTTTTTATAACATTTCCTGACTGCCCATGACTTTCACATGCTAAAGTTTGCCTTTTCAGATTTTTTTTTCCTATTGGCCATTCAATATTTCCTTGTTTTCATACTGATTATCTTTCAGAGTGTAGACATTGGATTTAAGATTGATTCCATTCTCTGAGAGTTCTGCAAAATGTATTCTGTTCTTCCTGATGCCCACTTGGAAACAGAGACACAGAAGTTTCTCCACTTGGAAATGGAATAGAAAAGGATTGAGTATTACAAGGGACAATGTATTAGCCATGAAGAAGAGAGTTGTCCAAGATAAAATATTTTTATTTTATAGAGGATACTAAGTATAGTTGATACTTGAAGATTTGCTACTAGGTTGCAGCAGGTTCTTTTTCTCCCCTCCAGTTTAATTAGTTTAGAGTGATAAGAAGGAATTCCAAAAAGACGGCTGTGAAGATTTGTTATTTTAATTAGCCAAGTGTATAAAGAGGAAAACCATCATCTAACATGAAGAAAACTGAAGGCAACTTAAACAGTATCAAGAAGAGATAAGACCATCTCACCAACAACACTAGGCTAAATTAAGAGTTTTATTGGCTAATGCAGACTCATAAAACAACTGAAATGTTCTCGGTGTTTGTACATGAGAAAAGTGCTTTGCAGGTCTCCAATACTGATGTCCCTGCAAAGCAAACTATCTCATTGACCCTATGCTGAAGCTACTGGAATAACTTCCAATGGTAAGAAAAAACACCATGGCAACTGCCCAACATGTGTGCACTGTACATGCCCATTTATAAATGCCATACAGCATAAATACGATTTAAATGGGAGTAGAATAGAAGTAGAATTTATTATTGTGTTATCAAAGCAAAGCATTTAGAAGTAACTTGGCGTTTCTTATGGCTAGAATGTCAAATAGTTCACATGATCTAAACTGAGATTTTATGTGCATAATTTTAGATTGATTATCATAGATATGTTTTTCATATTTGGCCCAGGTTTCCTTTGGCTCAGATGTTTTAAGTGCTTTGTGTGCATGGCTTCTGCTTTAACATTGTGCTGTGTCTATTTTGTGATCTGTTATTAGTATTATCAATTGGAACTCAGGCAAATTTTTACATAAAATGAAGGCAAGAAATGAAAATCGTCAATATCTTTTAACTGTTAACCCAGGCCTGAGGTAGTCTGCATATGCATCTGCTCTGCATTTCTAGAGATTGCTGTTTTTCTACCGTAGCTCCCTAATTACACCTTCTGGGAGACAGGAATTTGTACCATTTTGCCCTTCATTTGCATCATCACAGCAACTCTAGCCTTCATGTCCCTTTGCCTGGTAAGTTGCAGGGTTTTGGTTTCTGCACACTGATTATTCAGCCAGGCTCGCATCTCCTTGGAAGGCACCAAGGACGTTGCTATTCTTCCTTCGGGCTTACAGCACACACTTGAAAAGACCCATCTTGCCTTCCATCCTGCTCAAACAGTGGTGCAAGACATCCTCTCAGCCCAGTTTCACCTTTCTGAAGACTGGAGTATGCCTACATAAGAGCTAAACGCACAGACATCTTGTTGAAGGCTGAATACAGCCTGGCATTCACTGGAGAGTTAACCCTTATGAAGCATGCCTTGCAGCTTACCCATGGGTATGGCTTTCAGAGCAGGTTCATTATTTTCCTTATTTGCCAGAGGTAGTAAGGTATTCAGCGTCTGTCCTAGGGCTATAGGAGTGTGCTTTCTCAGTGTATGTATGTCTAGGGCATTTAATTAGCTACCTGTTTAAAGTGTTGCATTGATCATAAAAAGATGGTTAATCTAGAATATATATATATATATATATATATATATATATGCTTATAAATTCCTACATGAAAGTTAGGTGAGACTGCTTTAAAAACTATGAAAGAACTAGCTGCAATTCTGAAGAAATCAGGTTGATGCAGTGCAAAATGAAGTCTTCGGGGACTGTCAATTAATTATCTGAAAATTTACATAATAGCAATGGTTAAACTGGATGATTTAAATGAAACATTTAGATTGTTGTGGTTGTATATACTATATCTGAGCAATTCATAGAACTCAAAGCAAAACGTTCATAAAAGCCACATGAAATCCAACTCCCTGTGGGATTTGGTCAGATATGATGTTCTTACGGTTTGGTTTTTAGGTACTTTTCAGGTTGGAGAATTTTCCCACCAAATTCTACTTGACTAGAATAGTTATTTTTGTATTACTGATCATAACTTAGGAAACTTGTCTAATTTGGTTCAGTTTCAACTAACCATAAAACATATGTCCGGAAATTGCCTTCATCATTGATCAGACTGAGTAGGAAAGAATGAAAAGAGCCCTTTTGGCCTAAGAATTTAACAGTGAAAATATCCAGGCCAGGCACGGTGGCTCACGCCTATAATCCCAGCACTTTGGAAGGCTGGGGCAGGTGGATCATATGAGGCCAGGGGTTTGAGACTAGCCTGGGCAGCATGGTGAAACCCCGTCTGTACCAAAAATACAAAAATTAATCTGGCATGGTGGCAGGAACCTGTTGTACTATCTACTCGGGAGGCTGAGGAGGGAGAATTGCTTGAGCCTGGGAGGCAGAGGTTGCAGTGAGCCAAGATCGCGCCATTGCACTCCAGCCTGGATGACAGAGCGAGACCTTGTCTCGGAAAAAAAAAAAAAAAAAAAAAAAATATGTGTATATATATATATATGTATGTATTCAAATAGGCTGTAATGGAACAATTTCATTAGATGTTAATTTATACACAGTTCTAGTACACATTAAAGTAGCACTTTTGCAAAGAAAATATATAAATTAAGTATACTAAAACCTAATGCATTGTAATGATCTGTAATCACCATTTGGCAAACACACAATTCATCCATGGTCAGAATGTGTGGCACCCCCCTACCCTTCTTGCCAACCCAGTTCACATGTTAAAATCCTAATCCCTGAAGCGATGGTATTAGGAGGTGGGACCTTTGGGAGATGATTAGGTCATGCGGGTGGAGTCCTCATGAATGGGATTAGTACCCTTATAAAAGAAGTCAAAGATAGCTCTTTTTTCCCCTTCCACTGCAGAAGGATATGGCAAGGAGGCACCATTTATGAACTGGGAAATGGGTGCTCACCAGACACCAAATCTGCCAGTGCCTTGATTTGATCTCAGACTTCCCAGCTTACAGAACTGTAGGAGATAACTTCCTATTTTTATAAGCTTCACAGTCTATTTTGTTATAGCAGCTCAAACAGACTAAGACATTATCATTTGGTGATGTATTTCTTAGAAGTTTCACTGAGATTAAGCAAACAGGTAACAGCAGAGAAAAACTGATTGCTTGAAGCTAACAAACTCTGAGAACATTTCAGGTGTTTGAAGACAGTTACTGAAGCCCAAATAAAGCTTTCCTTTTTGTGCTAGACACAATCTTTCTTTAAACTGTTATACTATGGGAACTTTCCTAAATATTTTGGCTTAAAATACAGTCTTTCTTTCATTAAGCCTTTGCGTTCTTTATCACATATTTGATTTTCTATAGAATGAATTATCATTTTAAGTATATAATTTATAGCCATCCCAGGTAGATTATAAGCTCCTTATATAGAAGAACAGGGAGTTAGGTAGAGATAGAGAAAGACATTCTATTTGCCTTCCAAAGGTAACTTTCTGGGTATACTGTCATCACTCTACATCACACAGATTAACCCCATACCTGGAGCTTGTTTAACTTTTTCTCAGAGATTCGGGGTAGGACAGTGGAAAATCACTAGGTTTGGATTAAGTGATGTTAATTGCAGATTCATGAAAAAGTTTAGGAAACTACAGATGGCTAAAACCCAGAAATGAGAAGATACGTTGAATTCAAGATTTATATATCATTTTGAGAATTCATAATGTTAGTAAAGACATACCTACATATATCTCATGGTAAGAAAATTTTTGTATATTTATTTTTCCACTGATTGAAACCTATAATTTGGAAGTATTGATTACTGAACATCAACCAATAGGGTAAAGGTTAAATAAATGTTGTTATATCACTAAAATGGAAAGCTACAGAGACTTAGAAAAATGACATTGTATTTACACTGACATGAAAATATGTCTGTGATATATTGTCAAATGAAAGAAATTTAATTGTTTTATGACATATATGATCCCATTTGATTAAAAAAACACTTATACAATTGTTATAATATGGAAACTACAAGGGCATGTGAGGACACTAGTAATTCAGGCTTTTGTTTTGTTTTATTTTGTTTTTGGTAGTCAGTTAAGTCTTTCCAGAACATATCTAAGCCAAGATGTAAAAGATAGATAGGAGGTAAAATGATGAAGTTAAGACAAGGTAGGGAAAGTATTCTAGGAAGACATAAAAAAGGAATATATTTGAATATTTGAGAAATCAAAAGAAGTCCAAAGACAGACTACAGAATATAAGCAAGCAGTTTAAAAGTTGAGCCTCAATGTAAACACGAGGAAGATTGTGGAGTATAAATCTTGTTAAAGATTTAGGCTCTTATTCTAAGAAGCTCTGAAGGGATTTTTCAAGCAGAGAAGTGACATAATCAAACACAAGTCAGAAATATCGTTGTGCCTGCTACCTAGACAATAGATTGGAAAAGCAAGATTGGAAAAATGGAGAACGTTTTTGAAGAATTTGTAATAATCTAGCCAAGAGACAGTTCTGACCTATATTAAAATATCACCACTAGTGTGAGGGTAAATTGCTTTAATTTATGAACTATTTAGGAGACAGAACTATAAGCCATTCACTGAGACAGGAAACACGGAAGGAGGAGAGGTTTTTCAGGAGCAGCAGAGGAATTAAGCTTAGTACACTGAGATTGAAGTGCCCATAGCACATGATCATGGAAATGGGCAGTGGACAAATGGAAAGACGAATGTAAACTCAGGACAGGCCACTTAACTGGTTGCATTTATTTGAGATTATGAGCATGTGGATTGCAGTGGGAACCTGAGCTCACACAGGGAGAAAGTAAAGTGATAAGAGTAGAACCTCACTAGGTTACTGAAGAATAGCAACTTTTGGAGGCCTAGACAAAGAAAGAACTTACCTAAAAAGAATGGAAGCCCAAAGAATAAACCAGGAGGTTACATAATCAAAATGAATTAACACTTTGGTCTTCTTTAGCAATTAGTCCTAGCCAACTATGGAACTGGATGCATCATGAGGTCATTAGTTCTCTAGGCATTGGAAAACTTCGAGAGAAATTCTATGCTTAATCTTCTGGAATATCACAAAAAATATTTTTATACTGAGCAATAGTTTAGGCTTAATGTCCTCAATGGGATTTTTTGTCTTTTTATAGCTTTTGCTGAAACCCTATAATACTAAATCACATTGTAGAGTTTATGAGAATGACAGATCCCTATTGTAGCCTTTCCAATCAGCTCTCTTAAAAAGATCACAAAGGTCAGATCTCAAGTAAATGGTTCATCTCAGGCTAGCCCTGTTCCATGAACCCAGTGTTTTCATACAACCTGCAGGCAGGAGAACATAAAAAACTTTCACAGAAAAAAAATATTTATCTGGCATTAGTCCAAACCTATTTCTACTTGCTTGTTCTAACCTACCACATATTACTTGCATCTTCCCTAATTCTCCAACCCTCTGTTTTCTTCAGTAATTTGGGTCCTAATATTTTCTGCCATTGGTTGGTGATTAATAGACATGCTTTCCTGGCTGATCTTTGGTATTATTCTCTTTCTTGAATATGATCTCTTTAGTTTACCTCTATTATTAGTTAATGCAACACAAACTACTATAAGAAATAAACTCCTGAAATTTTAGAGGCTTAACCTCAAATAAGTTTGTCCCTTGCTCAGTCAGGTGGCTTACTTCAGCATGGTGACACACAGACTCAGGTTCTTTCCACTGTGTTGCTCTGTTATCCTCTAGGGACACAGAGATCTCTACAACCCACTACAAGGAGGGCAAAGGGAGTAATAACTCTACACTAAACAAGGATGAACATGGAATTTCTGGCACAGCCAAATGAATTTTGTACAAACTCCACCAGAAAAAAAAATATGTATGCATTTATAGACCAATTCTCACCATCCATTGGTTGAAGTCTCCTGGGACTTCAACTAATTCTGTCTGATGCCCAGCCTGCCATAGGTGTGGGCACAAATGTCTTTATCTTCATGCAAAGAAATGTAGATGCTGGTAGCTAGAAATCAAGGACAACATGCTTTAAATGGTTTATTTCCGTGGACTACAAGTGGAATATTGCCACTAACTGCTGCAGCAGCTTATCATTTTCACTAATAATTTCTATAGGTTAATGCTAACTGCTAGCATATAAACTATATCAGTGGCTTAACACAATGAAGTTTATTGACTTATATAAAGAAGCAATATAGTGCTTCTAGTTGGTGGGCAGCTTTCCTCCATTTCTTGGTTTCAGAGAATGATACTCCTACCATCTTTCGGCACAACTATCTTACAGTGCTTTGAATACTCTGCATTCAAGAAGTGGAAAAGGAAAGAAAGTATGTAGTGAGAACCTTCATGGGGTTCAGAAGTGACCCACATCATTTTTGTTTACATTTCATTGTGAAGCACCTGTTACATGGCACCACATAGTAACAATAGGATCTGAGAAATGTAGTCTGAGGCTGAGCAGTTGCTCTCCAGAAATGAGTCAGAGATATGGGATGCCAAGCCTTGAAACTCACATGTAAAAGAAACTTCTACTTTGAATGCTGTGACAAAGGACTACCAGAAAAGCCCACATAGAATTGAATTGGATCCAAGTTTGTCCTGAACCGTTTGAGCACAATAACCTTGAACTCTAGGCACAGTATAACTCTTGATGCAACTGGGACTCCTCCACAAAAGAAATCAAAATAGCTATGCAAACACATTTTTCAAAGTTGTGTGAATGAGCATTGCTCTGCATACTCGCTCTAAACCTTGAAGCAGAATATTATACACAGAACTGAATTTCCATATGTGGAAACTGTAAAATTGTTATTTGCAAGTCATGTTCATTTGTATACCAGAAACCTGCCAACAATGCACCCAAAATTCATTTGTAGCTGCTATTTATAGCAATATCAGCATTCAAGTTTTATGTAAAAATAGCAAAGTGAAGCTACTGGTATAATAGTAGCTATAACATCTTTACTCATTCATACATGAATGTTTATTTGCTCCTTGTAGAAATATATATTAGGATCTATATTTAATATTAGACAGAAAAAAGCTGTGAGGAGACATAAGAAAAAGGCCAAGGTCAAATATCTATATTTGCCAATATGTCAACAAAAGTAGAGAGACTTGCATGCTCAGATGCCACTTCTTTTCTAACCATTACCATAACCATAACCACAACCATATCCATAACTTCTCAGTGAGCTAAAGTCTACCTAGAAATTGGCCATGCTATATAACCTGGGAGCACCTCAAATACAGAGCTTGGTAAACAATTCCCAAACAGTTCACATAAAGGGCTAAGGAACTGTTTGTTCACCTACGTAATTTTGGAATAAATTCTAGATAATTGTTTTTTTTTGTCCAGACGTTTCCTTTCTTAAGTCAACTATACTTTTATAATTAGAAAGAGAGTTGAGAGAAATTTCTGGTTTTAGCTTTAATACGTAAAGATCTTGAAAGCTGTCACTCTCACTCATCCTTACAGCAACAACAACAACAACAAAAACTAGAAAATCTAAAAATCAATAACTTTAGTTTAACCCCTCAGAGATCTAAGGTTCCAGGACAAATTGCTGCCTCAAAATTTGAAGAGGAATGTGCATCCAAGAGAAATACAAGACTGAAATACACTTCTCTAGAACAGGAGCTACTACAGCCATAAGCTAGTCAGAACATTTCAATGGTAAATTTGACAAATTGCTGAATGTGGACTAAGGTGAAAATGAGAAACTCCTGGGGGTCCAGTCTTAAGAGAGTCTCACATTTTCCTAGGTTTTCCCTCATAAGGGAAACTTCTAAGCTTCTCACGGGGAGGATCTGAAAAAGACTGTGAGCTATACGAGGAGCCTTCTCCATAACCAAGGCCTACTCTCCAGAGAAAAGGACATCGCCATAGCACAATTCTGAAACTTTATCCTAGCTGGGAGAAGAAAATTAAGTACCCACTTTGCCCCACTCCAGATGATTCTCATTTGAGGGGTAAGACTAAAAAGTAGTAAACAGGAGATAGGGCTTCAGGGGAATATATTTATTAGGAACAGTGCAGTAGGAAAAAAGAGAAAAACACCACACCACTGGAAGAGGGATAGAAATTGTTATGTAGGCTACAGCTCGGTGACACAGGCGCACTAAAAGACTGAGTCTTAATTACAACATAGAATGCCCCTCCCACCACGCTATGGTCATACTAACTATGCTCCAGTTTAATAACACTGGACTGGCTGAAAGAGCTGCAAAGCACAGACTCTCTCCTAGAGCAATGCATAGGAAAACTCCAAAGCTAAAAGGGAAGACAAAAACAAAGACACTAAAGGAGTTTTAAGCCTCTAGTATCTACAGCTACAATAAACATTAAACACAGCTTAAATCCTAACCAAATTAACATAAACTGTCACATTAAATGCCTATTTACCTTAGTTACTATTACCCAATGCAGCATATCCAAATTCAACAAAAAATTACAAGTTATGCCAAAAGGCAAGAAAAAACAACCTGAAAGGACAAAGCAAGCACTAGATAAGGAAGGCAGAGCAAGATGGTGGAATAGAAGCCTACACAGTTCATCCCTGCTGTAGGAACACCAAATGTTAACAACTATTGCACACAGAAAAGCACTGTCACAAGAACCAAAAATTAGGTTGAACAATCAACATACAAAAATCAGTAGCATTTCTACATGCCAACAGTGGGCAATCTGAAAAGGAAATCAAAACAGTAATACCATTTACAATAGCTGTAAATAAAATAAAATACCTAGGAATAAACTTAACCAAAGAAATGAAATATCTCTGTAATGAAAACTGTAAATATTGATGAATGAAGTTGAAGAGAACTCAAAAATCGGAAAGATATTTCATGTTCAATTGACTGGAAGAATCAATTTTATTAAAATATCTGTAGTACCCAATCTTATTAAAACGTCCATACAGATTCAACACAATTGCTGTCATAATGCCAATGACATTCTTTACAGAAATAGAAAAAAAATGGTTCTAAAATCTATATGGAACCACAATAGGCCCAGAATAACCAAAGCTATTCTGAGCAAAAAGAACAAAACTGGAGGAATCACATTACTTGTCTTCAAATTATACTACAGAACTACAGCAATCAAAACAGCATGGTACTGGCACAAAAACAGACACATAGACCAATGGAGCAGAATAGAGAACCCAAAAACAAATCCACTCACCTACAGTGAACTCATTTTCGACAATAGTGCCAAGAACATACATTGGAAAAAGACATTCTCTTCAATAAATAGTGCTGGGAAAACTGGATATGCAAATGCAGTAGAATGAAACTAGACACCTATCTGTCACCATATACAAAAATCAAATCAGAATTAATTAAAGACTTAAACCTAAGACCTCAAACTCTGAAACTACTACAAGAAAACATTGGGGAAACTCTCCAGGACATTAGTCTGGGCAAAAATTTGACTAATACCCTATTAGCACAGGCAACCAAAGCAAAGAGGGACAAATGGGATCACATCTAGTTAAAAAGCTTATGCAGAGGAAAAGAAACAATCAACAAAGTGAAGAGACAACCCACAGAATAAGAGAAAATATTTGCAAACTACCCATCTGACTAAGGACTAATGACCAGAATATATAAGGAGCTCAAACAACTCTATAGGAAGAAACATCTAATAATCCACTTTATTATGGGGAGATGATTTGAACAGACATTTCTCAAAAGAAGACATACAGATGGCAAACTGGCATATGAAAAGGTGCTTAACATCACTGATCATCAGAGAAATGCAAATCAAAACTACTATGAGATATCATTTCATCCAAGTTAAAATGGCTTTTATCCAAAAGACAGCTGTATTATTCCATTTTCATGCTGCTGATAAAGACCTACCCAAGACTGGGAAGAAAAAGAGGTTTAATTGGACTTACAGTTTCACATGGTTGGGGAGGCCTCAGAATCATGGCGGGAGGCAAAAGGCACTTCTTACATGGCAACAGCAAGAAAGAATGAAAGAGAAGCCAAAGTGGAAACCCCTGATAAACCCATCAGATCTTGTGAGCCTTATTCACTATCATGAGAATAGCACGGAAAAGACCAGCCCCCATGATTCAATTACCTCCCCCTGGGTCCCTCCCACAACACATGGGAATTCTGGGAGCTACAATTTAAGTTGAGATTCGGGTGGAGACACAACCAAACCATATCAACAGACAGTAACAAATGCTGATGAGGATATGGAGAAAAGGGAACTCTTGTACACTGTTGGAAGGAACGTAAGTTAGTAAACCACAGTGGAAAACAGTTTGGAGATTCCTCAAAAAACTAAAAATTGAGCTACCATATGAATATGATCCACCAATCCCACTGCTAGATATATACTCAAAGGAAATCAATATATCAAAGAGATATCTGCATTCCTATGCTTGTTGCAGCACTGTTCACAGTAGCCAAGATTTGGGAGCAACCTAATTGTACATCAACAGATGAATGGATAAAGAAAATGTGGTACATATACACAATGAAGTACTATTCAGCGATAACAAAGAATGAGATCCTGTCTTTTGCCACAACATAGATGGAATTGGTGGTTGTTATGTTAAGTGAAATAAGCTAGACACAAAAAGACAAACGTTGCATGTTCTCATTTATTGTGGGGTCTAAAAATCAAACCAATTGAACTCATGGAGATAGACAGTAGAAGGAAGGTTATCACAGGCCGGGGGTGGCAGCTAGGGAGAGTGGAGGGGAGATGGGGATGGTTAATGGGTACAAAAAAATTAGAAAGAAGAAGAACTAGTATTTGATAGCACAACAGAGTGACTATAGTCAATAATAATTTAATTGTACATTTAAAAATAACCGAAATAGTATCATTGGATTCTTTGTAACATAAAGAATAAATGTTTGAGAGGAGGGATACCCCAGTTTTCATTATGTGATTATTATGTATTGCATGCTTACATCAATATCTCACGTACCCCATAAATACATACATTTACTATGTACCCACAACATTTAAAAATAAACAACTTAAGAATAAATAGATAAATAAATTCAAGTAAAAGATAAATATTGGAATTATCAGAGAGGGAATTTAAAATAACTATATTTAATATGTTAAGGGCTCTAATGGAAAAAGTAGACAAGATTCAGGAATAAATAGGTAACATAAGCAGAGAGATAAAAAAATCTAAAGAATAATCAAAAAGAAATACAGGCATATCTTGGAGATACTGTGGGTTCAGCTCTAGACCACCACAATAAAGTAAATATCACAATAGAGTGAGTCACATGAATATTTTGGTTTCTCAGTACATATAAAAGTTACATTTACATTATACTGTACTCTATTCAGTGTGCAATAAGAATTATGTCCACAAAAAGTACTTTAATTTAAAAAGACTTTATTGTAAAAAAAAAACACACACACTTTATTGCTAAAAATGCTAATGATCATCTGAGCCTTCAGCAAGTCATAATCTTTTTGCTGGTGGAGGTCTTGCCTCCATACTGATGGTTGCTGACTGATCAATGTGGTAGTTGCTAAAAGTTCGGGTAGCTGTGGCAATGTCTTAAAATAAGACAACAGTAATGTTTTACATGTTGATTGACTCTTCCTCTAAGGAAAGATTTCTCTGTAGCATGTGATGTTGTTTAATAGCATTTTACTCGTCGTAGAACTTCTTTCAAAATTGGAGTCAATTCTCTCAAATCCTTCTACTGCTTTATCAACTAAGTTTATGTAATATTCTAAATTCTTTGTTGTCATTCCAATACCGTTCACAGCATCTTGAGTAGATTCTATCTCAAGAACACACTTTCTTTGCTCATCTATAAGAAGCAATTCCTCCTCCTTTCAAGTTTTATCATAAGATTACAATAACTGACTCTTAACTTCAGGCTCCACCTCTACTTCTAGCTCTCTTGCTATTTTCACATCTGTAATGACTTTCTCCACTGAAGTATTGAATCTCTCAAAGTCATCCATGAAGATTAGAATCAACTTTTTCCAAACTCTTCTTAAGGTAGACCTCTTGCCCCAGGAGGTGACCCCTCCTCTCACTTGAACACTTAGAGGCCATTATACAGTATTAGTTGGCCTAATTTCCGTATTGTTGTGTCTCAAGAAATAGTGAGGCCGAGCAGAGGGAAAAAGATGGGGAATCTTTCTGGTGGGACAGTTAGAAAGCATACGTTATTGATCAAGTTCACTGTCTTACATAGATGTGCTTTTTGGTGTCCCAGAACATTTTACAATAGCAACATCAAAGATCTTTGATCACAGATTATCCTAACACATATAATGATAATGACAAATTTTGAAATATTGAGAGAATTACCAAAATGTGACACAGATGAAGTGAGCACATGCTGTTGGAAAACTGACACCAATAAACTGGCTCAACACAGAGTTACTAAAATCCTTCAATCTGTAAACAATGCAATAACTGCTAAGTACAATAAATTGAAGCACAATAAGATAAAGTATGCCTGTACTAGAAATTTAAAACACAATAGCAGAAATGAAATGTACCTTTGACAGACACATAAGGAGATTTAACACAGCTGAGGAAAGAATTAATGAACTTGAAAATAGGTCAATAAAAACTTCCTAAATTGAAATGCAGAGAGAAAGAATAAATCAATAAACAATAATACAACATCCATTCAACAAATGCAGGACAATATTAAAAGATATAATATATGCATCTTTGAAATGCCATTCAAGAGGAAAGAATGAAGAATCTGAGAAGTTTTAAAAACTAATGATGGACACAAAACCACAGATTCAAGAAGCTCTAAGACACAAACCAGGGTGTCTACCAAAAATAAATAAATAAAATATCCCCCCCCCCAAACACACACCGAATCAAAAAATTAAAGAAAAAAAAGAGGACAGCAAGAGGAAAAAATAGCTCTTACCCATAGAGGAACAAAGGTAGGAATTAAAATAGTCTTCTCACCAGTAACCATATAAACAAGAAAAAAATGGAAATAAATATTTAATGTATTGAGAGGAAGGAACCAACTTAGAATTCCATATCCATCAAAATTATCCTTTAATGGAAAAGAAAAAATACAGACTGAGGGAATTCATTGCCAGAAGGCCTACTTTGAAAAAAAAAAGTTAACAGAAATTCTAATTAGAAAAAAACATCATTGGTTATAAAACACAGATCTTCAAAAAATAAATAAATAAATAAAGTCAGAGCATTACAGAGGGAACGACAAAAGGTAAAATAAAATCTTTTATTTTTATAAGTTTAATTTGTCTAAAATATAACTATTTGTTTAAAGCAAAAATAGTAACAATATACTTATTCAACAACTGTAGCATCCACGCCACAAGAGGTGAGAAAGAATTGGAAATATTCTGTATTAAGGTACCTGTACTACATATAAAACAGTGTAATGTTATATAAAAGTAAACTTAGATAAATGAAGAGCAGAGAATTTTAAGGGAGGTGAAACTATTCTGTATGAAATTTTAATGGTGGACACATGTCATTATGCATTTGTGAAAAGCTATAGAACTATACAACCCAAAGAGTGAGACTTAGTGGGTCTCACTCTTTGGGTTGTACATGTGGACTACAGTTAATGACAACATATCTATATTGGTTCCTTAGTTATAAAAAATATATCACATTTATGTAAAATATTAGGAGAAAATGTGTATGAGGGGAAGGAGAATATAGGAATTCGGTTTAATTTCTGATCAATTTTCTGTAAACCTAAAACTGCCCTAAAAATAAATTCTAATTAAAAAAAACACACACTATGAATAGAAAGAAATTCCTTAACTTCATAAAAGGTACATATGGAAAACCTACAGTTAACTTTATACATCTTGTAATATTCCAGAAAGTAAGAAGCATTCCAAAAACAAGGAGATAGGAGTCAGAGTCAGAGGACAGAAACAGAAGAGTCAAGTAAAAGAGCTCCCACTGGCCAAAGCTGGAATGATTGAAACAACAAAATTAAATAGTATTAGATATATAACCTAGGTTATAAGCTCTATAAGTCAATACTGGTAGAAATAAAATATTGAATAAATAAGTAGATGGGAATAGACAAGTTTCCTGTGAAGAAAAATTCTAAATCATTTTTGTAGATATTTCACCAAGAAGGTGAAATATAACTTTCTACTCCTGAAGTGTGAACACAAACTCTATCTCAGCCATACAACTGTGGTTAGCATCAACAGTGAAAAGTCAGGTTGACAGCACGACTTGAAACAAAGTAATGAGAAGACATCTTTGGCCTTCCTCCCAAAAACCCATAACCCCGCACACTAGTTATGAGAAAGACATCAGACAAATCTCAATTGAGGAACATGCTACAAAATTCCTGAGTAGCAGTCCTCAAAACTATCAAGATCTTCAAAAGCAAGGAAAGTTTAAGAAACTGCCACAGTCCAGTGGAGTCTAAGGAAACATGAGGACTAAATGTAATTTGGTACCCCAGGTGGGATCCTGGGACAGGAGATGAATACTAGACAAAAACTAAGAAAGCTGGACAAAGTATGCATTTGGGTTAATAATATATCAATATTGGTTCATTAGATATGACAAATGTACTCTACTAATATGAGGTGTTAAAAATAAGGTGTTAACAACTGGATATAAAGATAGATGAGAGTTCTCTATACCATTTTCACAAATTTTCTGTAAATCAAAGACTATTCTAAAACAAAAAGCTTATTTAAAAAAATAAAATGACCTTAATTGGTAATATCTTCACCAAAAAATATCTAGAAAGCTAAAAGTCAATATTTAGCCCTGGGTTAGAAACCATTAGACACAGTTAGAATTCAAAATAATAGCTATTTTTTAGAATCTTGCTATAATATGTATGTAACTTATGAAATAAAAGATTTTTCTACTAACAGTATCTACTTCATTATGTTGACATTTGTGAAGGGTGAGTTGCAAAAAAGTGAGTTGCACTCTGACAGATACAACCATGCTTTATGCTTGCATGAAAGAAGAACATAGCACTGGCTTTCTGGATAAATGTGGGCTCCCTGGGCCTAGCCTTACCATCAGCCTGTGCTCTCTGAATCCTTCAGATGAATTCCTGTTTCTTCTTTCAGGCATCACACCTGACCTGTGATCTCTGAACAAATGACCACCACCTACACTGGACACTTCATGGAGAATAACTTTGTTAATTAATACAATATTTATTGAATGAATAGGAGTAAGAAATCAGCAACAGTTGTTCTTACTTTATTATGTTTTTATCTATTTATTTTATATTTTATTTTATTTTATTTTTTATTTTGTGACAAGGTCTCATTCTGTGCTCAGGCTGGGGTGCAGAGGCATCATTACAGTTCACTGCAGCCTCAACCTCCAAGGCTCAAGCCATCCTCCCATCACAGCATCCCTAGTAGCTGAGACTGTAGGCATGCACCATCATACTCAGCTAATTTTTCTTTCTCTTTGTTTCTTTCTCTCTTTTTTCTTTTTCTTTCTTTCTTTCTTTCTTTCTTTCTTTCTTTCTTTCTTTCTTTCTTTCTTTTTCTTTCTTTTTCTTCTTTCTTTCTTTTTTTTTTCTCTCTCTCTCTCACTCTCTTTCTCTCTCTTTCTTTCTTCTTATTCTTTCTTTTTTTTTGTAGAGACAGGTTTTACCACGTTGCCCATGCTCATCTCAAACTGCTGGACTCAAGTGATCCACCCACCTCAGCCTACTCCAAAAATGCTGGGATTACAGGCATGAGCCCCTATACCCAGACATATATTTATAATAATTAAAATCTTAGCAAAGAAATTCCACTGGGAAAAAATATATAACAACTTAAAGAAGACCTTATAATTGAAAGCTATCATTCCATTGTCATACCTTATTCCAGCCCTACTTTCCAGTAGGAACCATGTCTAATTCATATATGTGTTTTTCTTTTTAGTTATTGTGGTAGGGAATATGCATTTTATCTCAGAAACAAATTTTTCAAGGGATCTCTAGGCTAAGGCACAGCACTAGAGAGTGTGCATTCTGAAGGCCAGGGTCTGCACACAGATAGTCCAGGGAATGCCCACCAAAGCCTCACTGTTTATCCCACCCTCTAGCTCAGTCCCACAGAGCCGGCTGTCTGTAGGACCCCCCAAAAGGAGGCAGGAGATGAGCACTCAGGGTTATCCAGATTTTGTCTCACCGATCTGCCACTTACTTAGCTCAAATTTAATCATGGATCATTATACTCCTTCCTTTACATATACTCTCAACTACCTTGTCTTCTCCAGCCTAAAGTCCTGATTAGAATCAACTATTCACCTACTGCAACTCCACAGCTAGGTGCAGTTGTAGAAAACAGAAAACTCTATCTACTGTTCTCACTCAATTCATTACCATTTCCCTCAGATGGACCCACAATGCTGCTAGGCCATCACACAACATTTCCCTGGGTCATGTGCCTGCTGCTCTCTAAAGACGACATTTTTCAAACTTTAACTTCCTCTTCAAACACTCAATATTTTCACCACTATCTTAACCCAGATTCTACAGAAAACAGAACTGGAGGGAACAGCTTACATTACAGTGCTAATGTTTTATTGAGTATTAAAATCTTGGGAAGCAAAAATGAGAGGAAAGGCAAGGGAAGCAAATGTACCAGGCATGGCTACAGCTTTGTGACAAGCATAGTGGATTGATTATGCTGAATTGCCAAGGAAGGAAGGGAGGAGAATTTATGGGCTGGCTCCCTTCTCCCTTGGAATATTCCTTACAGGACATTAACTCCCCTGTACTTCCAGGTTGCACCCTTAGTTCCTCCAGCAGCCCATGGGGAATGCAATCCAATACTGCATTAGCACATCCAGAGTATGTGTCACAGCAGGATGAACTAGTGCACATGTAAGGACATCAAGCTGATCCCACGGTGTCTTCTTCCTGAATACCAAGGGGAAAGCATAGGATCAGTAATGAGAGGCTCTTGGGGTAGGTGTGAGGTATGGACTTATCATATTGGGTCATCATGTCAAACTGTGAGCTGCAGCATTGGCAGCAATTGCAATGACCTTGGAAACAATGAACCTCCTTGCTAGGGCTGCTTAGGCCAGAGAGACAGAAAAAACATGGATCTGGAGGCGGCCCATATACCAAGTTCTGTACAATCACCTTTACTGTCAGTTTGTGTTCCTGCTGGACAGTTCACTGAGAAAATTGAAGGAAGCAAAAAGGAACATCTTTAAGCTCCCTCCTCCACAGTTGCCAACCTACTAACATCTGTGCCTGTAAACTGCCTCCCTTTCTGTTACAATGAATAGAATGTTTGAGCTCCCAGCTAAGGTCACCCTCTCATTGTTCAGAAGATTTCATTTTATCTCCTTCCTCAAGGACATTTCTTTTCTTTAAATTTAAATTTCTTAATTTTTTAATTGACAAAATTATGTATATATATATAGTGAACATCTTGTTTTAAAATATGTAAACATTGTGAAATGCCTTAATCAAGCTAATTAGCATATACATTACCTCACAAAAACTATTTTTTGTGGTGAGAACACTTAAAATCTATTCTCTCAGCAATTTTCAGGAATACAATTCATTGTTATTAACTATAGTCACCATGTTGTACAATAGATCTTTTGAACTCATTTCTCCTAACTGAAGTTTATCCTTTAACCAACATCTCCCCAATCATCCTTCCTTCTTTCGCCTAAAACCCCTGGCAATTGCTTTTCTACTCTATACTTGTATGAATTCATTCTCCTACAATTTTTACCTCTCTCTTCTACATTATTATACATTATCATGTTTTCTTCTCTACTGAATTATGTCTTCAGTCTATAAGTATATTGTTATTTGTCTCCCATTTGAAAAAAAGAAAACAAAGAGAAGCCTCTCTTGATCCCATATCTTCATCTATAATGCCATTTCTCTGCCTCTCTGTATACCTATGTTTCTCAAAAGAGTTATCCAAAATCACTGTCTTCATTTTCTCTCCTTCTAGTATCTTTTGAACACAGCCAATTGTGCTTTGAACCATCACTCCTCCAAAATTGCTTTTCTCAGTGTCATGGATGTCCTTGACACTGTTAAATCCATTGGCCAGTTATTCCATATACTCTCACATGACCTATCAGCCATATTTAGCAGTTGTTCATTCCCTACTTGAAATGCTTTCTTTTCTTGGTTTCCAGGACACCACATCCTCTATGTTTTTCTCCAAACCCACTGCTTGATCCTTCTCAATATCATTTGCCAGTCTTAGCTCATCTCCTTACCCTGTCAATGCTGAATGCCTCAAATTTCAGTCCTTGGGCCTCTTCTCTTTGCAGGCCCACTCTCTTAATGATCTCATTCAGTACCATGGCTTTAAAGGTACTGTATACGCTGACAACTTCTAGATTTTTATTTCCCATTCAGATTTCTCCCCTAAACACCAGATCCATACATCTTAAAGCCTGCCCCACTCCATTCCACATATCCACTTGGATGTCTAAAAGGCATGCCAAGGAAAGACTATAAAGGGAGTGTGATGGTTAATACTGAATGTCAACTTGATTGAATTGAAGGATATAAAATATTGATCTTGGGTGTGTCTGTGAGGGTGTTGCCAAAGGAGATTAACATTTGAGTCAGTGGGCTGGGAAAGGCAGACCCACCCTTAATCTGGATGGGTACCATCTAATCAGCTTCCAACCTGGTTAAAATATAAAGCAATCAGAAAAATGTGAAAAAAGAGACTGGCCTAGCCTCCCAGCCTCCATCTTTCTCCTGTGCTGGATGCTTCTTGCCCTCAAATATCAAACTCCAAGTTCTTCAGTTTTGGAACTTAGACTGGCTCTCCTTGCTCCTCAGCCTGCAGATGGCCTATTGAGGGACCTTGTAATCATGTGAGTTAACACTTAATAAACTCATATATATGTGTGTATGTATATATATATATATATATATATACACATATATGTGTATATATGTGTGTGTATATATACGCACATATATTGGAATACACATATATTCCATTAGTTCTGTCCCTCTAGGGAACCCTGACTAATACAGGGACTCAAATAGAGGCTAAAAGCTGATGCTTTTTCAGGAGCACCTGAAGACCATGTGACTCTGAGCTAGAGCAGGTTAGAATGTTCATAGGTGGAGGAGAAGAGGAGAATACGTGACTGCATTGCAACTTTCTTTATCTATAACTACTATACCATGTGCAATTACAATAGCGGGGATATTCAGTTTTTATCCCTCTCACTCAGAATCATTGACACAGTCTCTTTGGGACAGCTTTTTGTTGGGAGTAGGCTGAGGTGGGTGGATCACTTGAGTTCAGGAGTTTGAGACCAGCATGGGCAACATGGTAAAACCTGTCTCTACAAAAAAAAAGAAAGAAGAAGAAAGAGAGAGAGAGGAAAGAAGCAAGAAAGGAGAAAGAAAGAAAAGAAAGAAAGAAAGAAAGAAAGAAAGAAAGAAAGAAAGAAAGAAAGAAAGAAAGAAAGAAAGAAAAAAGAAAGAGAAAGAAAAAGAGAAAGAAACAAAGAAAAATTAGCTGAGTTTGATGGTGCATGCCTATAGTCTCAGCTACGAGGGATGCTGTGATGGGAGGGTGGCTTGAGCCTTGGAGGTTGAGGCTGCAGTGAACTGTGATGATGCCTCTGCACCCTAGCCTGAGCACAGAACGAGACCCTGTCACAAGGCTCTCTTTTGAGAGCTCTTTGTGAATCTTGTGAGTCATTTGTTAACTGTCTAATATCAGTTAAGGTTCAGAGGAGGAGATAGAAAAAGAGCAGAGAAAGGGAAAAGAGAAACTATAAAGAAAAGGAGGCAAAAGTCAAAGCAAGCAAAATGAAGGCCTATTTTAAGTCTTTTGCAGGAATCTTAAGCTCAAGAAGTCCTAATCACCCACAAACAAACCCACTTCTTCTATGGTCTTCCACATCTCAGTTAATATCAACTCCATCATTCAGTTGCTCAGACCAACATTTTGGAGTTCTCCTGATACTTGTCATTCTTTCACAGCCTGTAAAAATCAGTCTATCAGCAAATTCTAATGCATCTACTTTCAAAATATACCCAGAATCCAACCTCCTCCTCTACTACACGGTGATCTGGCCACCACCATTTCTCACCAATATTATTATCATGGTCTTCCAATTGGTTTCACTTTTTATCTCCCTAAAGTCTATTCTCCTGCAGTGATCCTGTTAAAAATATCATATAAAATGTCATTGGACTCAAACCTATAGAATAATTCCTCATCTCTATTAGATTAAAAGTTAAAATAAATCCATACGCTGGCTATAAAGCCTTCTAAGATCTCCATCTTCATTACCCTATGTCTTATAACTTCCTCCACTTTACTCACTCCATTGCACACTGCTACCCTCTCATAAGCCAGGCTCTCTCCCACTCCAAAGCTTCTGTACTTGCCTATTCCTGTACCTAAGTCTCCCTTCCTCAGGTATCTGCAGGCTTCATTCTCACATCTCTTTCACTTCAAAGGCCATCTTCCCAATGAGGAATTCCATGATGGTTTTTCAAAATTTGTAATCCTTCTACCTCCTCCTCACCCAGCACTCTTAATCTCCTCACTTGCTTTATTTTTCAATACTACTCATCACTGCCTGAATATAATAAATTTTAATGATTTGTTAGTTTTTTTTATCCCCACTCTTGCTATTCCCCCACCACCACCACCACTAATACAGGCCCCATGAGGGCAGGAATTTTGACTATTTAATTCACTGCTTTGTTTCCAGAACTGCTTTATTGCTAGAACATGGCTCAGGACATAGTAGGAACTCCTGAATGAATGATTCTTATAATTTTCCACCCACGACTTTTCTCTGTTGTCGTTTTCTAAAACTCCTATTCATAGAACATTAGACATTCTGGATGACTCGTGTTTCTTTTCATATTTTTATCTCTTTGTCTTTTGGTTCAATTTTCTGAAATAATTTTTCAACTCTATCTTCCTAACCTTGCATTAAAGTACTGTTTTATTCAATTATAAATTGAATTTTCCAAAGTTCTTGCTTCTGATTATAGCTCATTTCCAACATTTTTATTATCTTATGGATCTAATATCTTTTCAAATATCTCTAAGGATACTCTTTGGATATTTTCCCTATGTTTTAGGTTATCTTTTACTCCCTAAACTATCTGTTAACTCTCTTCTTATGTTTTTCTGCTTGTGTATAAATTTGCATTGAAAACAAACGCTAGAAAAGTCCACAATAAAATGTTAACTGTGTTGGTAATGATAGCTGGGTGGTAGATTATAGAAGAGTTGATTATAAGTGTGAGTGTATGGTTTTTCTTTTGCTTATCTATGTTTTTTTATTTTCTCAATGAACACAAACTACTATTCTAATAGAGAAGTATTACAAATTTAAAAAAAAAGAAAAAATGAAGAGGGAACATCAGTCCAAGAGAAAAACAAGGATAAGTAATATATAGACTGAGGCCTCTGGGAAGAAAAAGACAAACTGAAGGAGACAAGAACATTAGAAATAAATCTAAAAAGAGAAAACTAAGTGGTTCTACTGTCCAGAAGCAACAAAGCTCACATTCCTAATCACTGTCTCCTTTTATTCTCTCAAAGTCTTCACCGTTTATTCCAATCACTGTATTTCATGTACTATCTCCAGAAAACAATTTATTTTCTTTTAAATAGTTAGCTTTCCAGAGGCTGTGCTGGAATTCTATCTCCCTGGAGAAAACCCTCGGGAAGCCAACAGGGTTAAATTTGTATGATTTCAGTCACATAGTTACCGCCCTTCTCTACAACAACATATAGGCACTTCTGGAAGAAATTCCATGCCAGGGGCTTGCTAAGCAGGCTTTTCCTCCATAGACACCGGAGTTGGATTTATCAGGAGCTGAATTTTGTCAGTGGCAGAATTCTATGGCTCAGGCAATTGAAGCTTATCCTTGTCTCATTTGACACTTAAAAGTTTATCCTCTTGAACTATGGGAAGTGAATTCAAAAGGGAGTAAAGTAAATTTCACCTAGGCACATTGGATCATATTCGTACTTCATAATAAAGTTTCGAAGTTCTCTGCTGGCTAGCAGGGTTAGTAGGGAATATAATACAAACTAACTTTTTTCAGTAGAGGCAATTTTCTTTGAAAATGAAAAAGTCAAAAACTCTAAAACCTTGTTATTTTAATGTGGAGGAATACATAAGAGCAGTAGTTGAAAACAATGAAGTATGTGAGGCCATTTAGCACAGTGCCTGGGTCAGAGTAGGTGATAAATAATTTTTTATCACATCTAAATGTTGGCCAGGCCTTTCATTCCACAGAGGAGGAAGCCAAGTCTTGGTGAATTAACTGACTTGCCAAGGGGAAATAAGTTGTACAGCCAGGATTAGAGCCTACACATAGAAGCAAACTTATAAAGCAAACTTAAAAACCCCAAATCATGATTTTAGTAGGGAAAACTTCAACTCATGATTTTTCCCAAGAGAAAAGCATTCTGCCATTTGTGATTACACATGCAGTTGGCTTCATAACAGTTATTATAGCAGTAGGCAATCAAATGTTGCATACACTAATATATTAGCTACTTTTTTTAAAACAACTTTATGAAAGTAATAATTTACATGTAATAAAATGCATCTATTTCAAGTGTGAAGTTTAATGAGTTTTGACAAAGGCATACAAACTTGTAATCACCACCACATCAATATTTAAACATTTCTGCCACCCCTAAATTTCCCTCCTAACCCTTTACAATTTCCCCTCCCCAACCCCAGCCTCAGGCATCCACTGATGTGTTTTCCATCATTACAGATTAGAGTTGCTTGTTCTAGAATTTTACATAAAAGGAATCATACAGTATCTACACTCTTTTGTCTGGCATCTTTTGCTAAGCATGATGTTTTTGAGCTCATCCATGTGTGTTCTTTTTTCTTACTGAGTAGTATTCCATTATATGGATATACCAGATTTGATTATCTATTCACATGTCAATGAGCAGTTAAGATTATTTCCAGAATTGGGCTATTATGGATAATGTTATTATCAACACTTGTGTATGAAAATTGTTTTCATTTTTCTTGGTAAATTACTAATAGTATAATTGCAGGATTACATGTTAAGTATACATTAAATTTTAAAGAAATTGCCAAATACTTTTCCAGAGTGGCAATGAATTTCATATTTCCACCAGCAATGCGTGAGAGTTCTAGTTGCTCTATAACCTTTCCAATATATAGTATTTCAGTTTCTTAAAAATTTAACCATTCTAGTAGGTGTGAGGTCATATCATATTGTAGTTTTAATCTACATTTTCTTAATAACTATTGATACTGAGCATCTTTTTATGTGTTTACTGGTCATTTGTATGTCTTCCTTTGCAAAGAATCTGTGGGGGTTTTTTTGCCCATTATCTATTAAGATCGTCTTATTATTGAGTTGTAAAAATTCTTTATAAATCTTGATAAAGCTCTCTATCAGATATATGTATTGCAAATACAAGTATTACAAAACTTAGTTCATACCTTGCCTTTTTATTTTCTAAATTATGTATTTGAAAAGTAGAACTTATTAATGTTAATAAAACATAATATATCAATTTCTTTTGTTCATGGTTTGTGCCTTTTGTGTCATCTCTATGAAATCTTTATCTTAAGGACACAAAAATTTCCCCTTATGTTTTCTTTTTTTCTTTTTCAGATGGAGTCTTGCTCTGTCACCCAGGCTGGAGTGCAATGGTGTGATCTCAGCTCACTGCAACCTCCACCTCCTGGGTTCAAGCGATTTTCCTGCCCCAGCCTCCCAAGTAGCTGGGATTACAGGTGTGCACCACCGTTCCCAGCCCCTTGTGTTTTTTTTTAGGAACTTCACTGTTTAAACTCTTACATTTATGTCTATGATCAGTTTTTAGTTAAATTTGTGTATAGTGTATAGTCAAAATTCATTTTTCCCCCATAAGGATATTCAGCTATTAAAGCACCATACATGGAAAAGGCTGTTCCCTCCCCCATTCAACTGTCTTGGCATCTTTGTGGAAAATCAATTGTCATATAGCTGTGGTTCTATTTCTGGTCTCTATCTATTTCATTATTTTGTATATATATCTTTATGGTAACCACACTGTCTTGCTTACTGTATTTTTATAGGACAACGTGAAGGAAGCAGAAAGGTTGCAAAGGAAAGAAAGAGGAAAATACTTTTCTGGCAGGAAATGATGCTAGTTTTCAAATGGGAAAAGTGAAAACATTAGCCCCATTTCAGAACAATAAAGTTCATCCCAATTTTTTTTAAGTAATCATTTAATATTTGCTCAGCATTTCTGTAGTCTATGTGTGTGGCATATATAATGGGCACAGTAGAAATATAGGTGGTTATTTCTATTGTCACAACTACTGACTATTATCTTGTTGCTCACCTCTTTTGTGGTCTTATATTGATAAATTTTAGAATTAATCAAATCAGTTAACATTTTCATGAGATAAAATTTTTTTCCAACTTGAGACTCTATTTAGAATGCAAGAAGTTCTTTGATAAAGTAATTTTTGCTAGTTATATCGGTTTTCTGTTTGTTTGTTTTTTGGCTTTTTGGGTTTTTTGGAGACAGGGAGACAGGGTCTCTCTCTGTTGACCAGGCTGAAGAGCAGTGGTGCAATTATGGCTCACTGCAGCCTCCACTTCCTGGGCTCAAGTAATCCTCCCACACCAGCCTCTCAAGTAGCTGGAACTACAGGTGAACACCACCATGCCCAGCTAATTTATTTATTTATTTATTTATTTCTGGAGAGACAGGTTATCTCTCTGTTTCCCAGGCTGGTTTCAAGCTCCTTGGCTCAGAGGATCCTCCCATCTCAGCCTCCCAAAGTGCTGGGATTATAGGCATAAGTCACTGTGTCTGGTCTAGTTATAAATGTAAAGAGTCCATTGAGATGTTTTATAAAAAATGTTTCAGTTAAACTGAGTAAGATATGAAAAACTGGAACCAACATTTATTGATCAGGTACTATTTGCTGCATGCTATACTTCGTATTTTATATAACAATCAAATATATAATTGCTACACTTTGTTGACTACCTATTATATTTCTGCTATTTTGCCACTTAATTCTTGCAACAATCCTGCAAGGTGGGTGTTACTATTCCCATTGTACATGTGTGTCCACTAAAGTTAAGTATTTGACCTACTAGCAAGCAGTGGAAATGCCTTAAAATCTCACCTGATTTGGTCTTTAATCCCAGAATGTCCCCACTTACCATATATCACATTAAGGAGACCCATGATGATAATCTATATATTACATGAACGTCAGTGCAAAATCTATAATTCAAGTGGCAGTTTGAGCATTTCAAACAGGTCCATTAGCTTCCCACCAGCTACATTAGATCAACATCAGTTTTATTTTCTCTGAATCAGAAAAAAATAATGAACTGAGGGCTAATGAAGTATAATCTGACAGAGTACTCCTTTAACTTCGTTGGGCTAACAATCTTCATCTAACTCAGTGAGACACACATAAGAGATAGTCTAAGAGGAGATGAGAGAGAATGAGCAAGGAAATAATAGTGACATATGTGGTATGCATTAGAGTTCTCAAAGAGGATAATCTTATCAATTAAGAAAATCCATTGAGGGCAGGTATCATGACTTCAGAGAAAGCAAGCATCTGAAGAGCTAAAGTATTCACCAAAGTATTACAGCTTGTAAGAAAGGGAGCTAGAAGGCTAAACTGGACACTTTGCACCAGCACTAGAGAGAAATAGGGCACCGAGGTAAAGCTGGAGAACAAAAGAGTGATTTGTGAGATGAGGGAGCAAGGGGGAGCAAGGGCAGGTGTAAGATCACTTAATTGTTCTTGCTGAAGCTGAGCAGCTCCCTGATCTTATATCCCTGCTCTTGCTACTCTGGCATGTACAGACAACTAATTCATTTTCTTTTATCTAAGACTTTTAAAGTACCTCTGAGAAAGACGGGGGTATACAAATCAAATTAGAATCACAATAGGTTGGGAACTGATCCAAGAACTTAATATGAGACCTAAATAATAGAAAGCAAAAATAGCAGAAAACTAAGGTAGTTTGCATTCCTATGTCTTATGAATAAAACTAAAATAATTACATTATCCCTTGTTCTTTAAAAGATTTGTGCTGTTAACATTTTGACATGAAGAAGTGGTCATTCAAAATAAGAGGCCAATGTGATCCACTGACCTTTGGTCTTTTCTTCAAATGACACTCATTTCCCCTTCTCCACCTGTACTACAGCACAGATTCTAAAGGGGGAAGAATTCAGTGGAATTAAACACAGCATCCACTGCCCTTTGGTCTTCTCTTTGAATGGCACTCATTTCCCCCTCCTCCACCTGTACTACAACACAGATTCTAAAGGGGGGAGAATTCAGTGGAATTAAACACAACACACACGCGTGCACACACACACACACACACACACACACACACAATCCTGCAGCTCTCAGAGGTAGATTTTATGTGGAGAAACCCCAATGTCAATTCTAATTTTATACCCTTCTCATAAGTACTTTGTTTACCATATAAGTTCTTTTAATGTAAGTGACTGATCAGGGCATCTCAAGTATAAGTGCTTTCAGGGGTCAGGCATTACCTAATTGTAAGAAGACTGGCAGGGAACTGGAACAGTTGTGCCTTATATAAAAGCATTCTAATTGTACCTGTTATAAAGGCTGTCTTTCATAGAGAAAATGCACCTATTTATAGGCCCAATTTGAGACCTTTGCATAAGATTAACTGTTTTGATCAATTGTCTGCCATATTTAACAGAAATCTAATTAGAAATTTTTAATATAAGACCTTCAATAAATAATTTGATTATAGAATTGTGTGTATGTGTATATTAGAAACTCATATTGAATCAGCGTAGCTGGTAGGAAGGAAGAGAAATATATCAATCACATTTATATATTCAACAGCAAACAATGAGACTGTATGATCTTTTGGATAGAATTGGCAAGTGGTTAAATCAAATTGTTAGGTTACTTATGTCTAAATGCTTAAACATCTATGCTTAAAGATTGGCCTTTTCCAGCTTTCCACTTGGGTATTTTTTGGTGCCAGGTGAAGCTCATTCAAGACACTCAGAGTTAACTGCATCTTAAAAGTTAAGTAAAACCTTCCTTGATGTATAAATATTTGACATACTCTGCTTTCCCAAGGATGATATCGTGTTTGTGATGGACTAGGAAATGGGGAAAACAGTTTTTGATTGCAGAAGACCAAGATTTTGTGAACTCAAATATTCTATCTAACCTATACATTTTTAAGAGCAGTAGGAAAAAAGTTATTCCAAATTCTAAATTTCAAATCAGAAAAGTCAGTAAACTTGTGGTTCAGGTGAAAGTTTTAGTGGTGTACAACCTCTGTTGATTTTCAGGTGTTAAAAGCAGTAGGAATATATATCATCTTGATACTTACTCCAGCTGCTGAATTTAAGAGATCATTGACCAGATACCTGATTTAAGAGATTCCGTATTTACAGACATACATGCTCTTCTCTTCTGCAGAGGAATGAGCTTTAAAAGCCAAGAGATATCAAGTGCATAACGCTCCATAAACCAATATTCTTAATAGACTAATCTGATTGTCAATCAGCTTCTACACCTATCTGAAGAATCATTTGACATTTTGTCTATATTCATTTATCAAGGGTCTAAAAATAGATTTAATTTAATAACATTAGTGTTCAACTTGTCCAACGTTCAGATCTTATTCCAGGGGGAACAATGCTTGTAGCAATGCTAAAATTAGGAAAGTTGTTTTATGTCGCATTAGTTAACATATGCAAGCTTACTTAACATGTGGACGGCAAATAAGTGTAATTACATTAAAACAAGGAGCTGTAGCACAGAAGCAATAAAAATAGACTAGGTTGTATTATTAATTCTTGTGTTAAGGGTTTTGAGCCATGTTGATTGGCCTGAATTTTTTGATTTTGTTATGGTACAAAGGGATTGTTTGAAGTAATTTGTCCCCGAGAGAGGCTCACAATCCCAAGCGGGTTTCAATTCAGCAAAGCAAATCTAATTTTGTTTGCTTTATGCAAACCAGAAGGGGCTGTGGTTCATTCTGTTTTCACTGGAGGGGAAAGGCGTACTAATGGGACCTGCTGAAATGCATGCATTGCAAACATCATACCCCTGCATATATTAAATTTAGCTATGTAATGCACTGTGTTCATCATCTCATTGTGTACACAGATACACTTTAGAACAAAGCCTTTTAATAGCGAGGGAACCTTACTACATTATGTCAATACTCTATTGTATTTATATTTAATGCCACCATTGGAATACCTACCCTTAGCTAGAGTATGCTCATATTTGTAATCATTTTGAATTTCAGCTGCTTCTTATGTGAAAGTGGGCTATATACTGGGGCTACTATGCTGGACTCTAAAGCCAACATCTGAAGATTAATTATACATACGTTGATGAAGATTTCCAATTTTTTCAGTCTCCACCCCTACACATATACTCTTTGTACACCTGAGTTAAATTGGAGAGATGCTTAGCACCTTGTTGAAAGAATAGGACACATCACAAATCCGAATATTCAGGCTGGAAGATAAATGGAGGATAATAATATCTGCACAACAGGTAATGCTAAAGACGGTCTCCATTCCTGTGACAAATTACCATCCTCCTACCTGCCCCCTCCCCCCAACTCGCTGTGGTCTTTCCTTGACTTGCCAGATACAGCTATGCTGCCAGATATATTTGATCAAATTCATCAAAATTAGAGGGTGCATGAGATGGGAAGGGAAACCAGCACATGATAGATGATAATGCAGTTATTGGCTAGGTGGATTTATTCACATAAAAATGGAATTATTTGTCAATTAAAATTGCATAATGACTGCATCTCCTGTCATGCCAGCACTGTTTTCAGTATGTTTTTATTTTGAAAACAGTTCCAATACTGCAAACAGACAGACACATCTCCAAACCCTTCAATTTGTCATTAGACATTTGGCGGCATGCCTATTTTGCTGTTAATTTTCCAAAACTACATTAATTTGCTGAATGACTTTTGTGAATCAGTTCACATAAAATTCAAGATGATACTTGTCATGTATCAAAGAGTGACTATTAAAAGCACAGGTTACTTGTAAAAAAAAACACTGTGTGAATCAGTTTGAATTTTTTGTTTTAAGTTCAAACGTGGGTTAGCATTAATGATTTTTTTCTTTCCTAATGTAAGTTGCTTAATGAAACATTACAAGGATAATCTTCCTATTGGTTTTTTTCTGCTTCTGCTTATCTGTTTCTTCAATTTACTAGTGTATACATTCTTAATTTGACTTGATTTGGAACAACCCCAGGCAGTTGAAATTCAATGGTGTAGCCAAAAATAATTGTTTAATATTGTGAAATAAGGGATTTGGTCCTCAAGGTAGACTGCATCAGACAGTTGTACAATTTAAACATTGGGAGAGATTACTCTGTGCACAGAACCAAATAGCAAGATCACATGATATTCTTAGAAGAATTTATTCCCTAACAAAAGAGGGAATTTGATTGAGAGATGCTATAACTGTTACCTGCCTCTTGTAGCACAACATCATGAAATATTATGGTCACCATCAGAAATATTGATTTATTTATATACATACTTTCTTGGTCCACAAAATATATTTACTTTAAAACAATAAAAACATTGCCTTGGTCTTGATATAAACATTATCCAATGAGCTGTGACTAGAGATATTCCAGGTCAAAGCACATTTTTTAATGTGTGTGTGTGTATGCATGCACGTGTGTGAGCATGCACATGTGTGTGTGTTGACCTTTGAGTAACATAGGTTTGAACTGCACAGGTCCACTTATATGTGGATTCCTTTTGCCTCTGCCACTCTTGAGTCAGCAAAAACAACCCCTCCTCTTCTTCTGCCACCTCTTTAGCCTACTTAAAGACAACAAAAAAGATGAAGACCTTTATAATAATCCACTTCCACTTAATAAATAGCAAAAATATTTTCTCTTTCTTAAGTTTTTAATAACATTTTCTTTTCTCTAGCTTACTTTATTGTAAGAATATAGTATATAATACATACACATATAAAATAGGTGTTAATATGCTCTTTGTGTTATTAGTAAGGCTTCCAATAAATATTAGGCCTTTAGTAGTCAATTTTGGGAGGATCCAAAATTTTACATGGAATTTTAACTGTGAAGGAGATCAATATCCCTAACCTCCACGTTGCTCAGTGATCAATTGTATATGTGTTCGTGTGTGTGTGTTTGTGTGTGTGTATATATATATCTTTATATATGTATGTATAGTATATGTACACAAATAGGAGATATATGCCTAGTGTGTGTGTATATATATGCACACACTTATACATATATATCTATATGCATGTATTATAGTGTACTCTGTGTCTATATAACCCTTGATACTTTATGGATGTTTTTGTTATGATTACCTAAATAAATTATGAATTATTATAATGTAATTGGCCTAATGCAGCCATAGGGGCTGAATTAGAGAGAAAATAATTATATGAACCCCTAGCGAGTTCAAACCTGCAACAAATACCATAAGAAATCATGTCACTTTGAGCTGTAAGCCTAGAAAGATATATGTGGCAAAAAAAAAAAAAAAAAGAAAGAAAAAAAAAAGCAGTACAGGATGATACCCTCTATTTCCCAAACTTGTGTACCTTATCCTGGTCTACCTCCTCAGTATGATAACAGGGAGCTTGGGAGGATGAGAAGAGTGGAAAAAGTGATGGCTAAAGTCCTCCTGCTGTGCTACACTGTTGTTCCATTACTGCCAATTCAGGATGAATCTATACCACATTTGGTAAGACTGACAAATATCACATCAGTGAGAGTGAATATAAATGTTTCCTAATAAACCAACTCATCGCAATAATAAACATCTTCCTAGATTAAGCTCTAATATTTAAAAAACAATTGGAGATGTCAGAATCGAGGAATTTAATTTCCTAGTGTGCTTTCCTAGAAGGCAGCACAACATGCTCACTCTACCCCAGTGCACTGGTAAGTCCTGCACAGACATTTCTTCTTAACCCTGAAGTACTGAAGGCAGACCCTGCCCAAATTCCTGTTCAGGTAAGCAGTCTAAGTTTGCATGGGAAGTTATGTCTGTTCTCAGAGAGCTTCCAGCCACAGCAGTATGCCGATGAATGTTTAAAAATCAGCTCTCTTGGGGAAAAAAATAAAAGCAATAACCCTGGTTTGTAATGTGGGCTAATTCCAAGCTACCAATGTGATACCACTGAATGCAGAGTGGGGAACAGGCACGAAGTATCATCATTGCATAGAATAACCACTCATGTAGAGACAATAGATGCAAATAACTTCAAAAGCACAGATTATAGCAAAATGTAGTAAGATAAAAAGCAATAAATTTGGAGTGTTGCTGTTATTTTTAATATAACTTATTGAATTTTAAGATTAAATACTTTTTAAAAATTAACTGTTAATACTGGCTGTATATAAAAACAGCTTGCAAAATCCTAAAAATTTGATAGTCAGCTCTTATGAGTTGGTTAAGATGGCCTCAATACACAACTGCCTCCATCCAATCTCACACACACAGCACACAATTAGCTTCCTGGTTCATTAGGATCTGCCCAGAGTTATGCCTCATCAAATGTGGAAATATTTGTCCAGGCAATAAGCAAAATAGCTTCTTGCTGATCAATTGCTCTTAATATGGTTGTGTAGTACTGTCTCCACCTGTATTTTCAGTGGTGCATTCCTTTTTCTTGCCATCGAAGTCCCTGGTTGGACCTTTATTTTATTCAACTGCATGGGGAACATAGCCTCTGTCTGCATTCCTTTGTCTAGGAATAGTGATTCTGCATTCACACATAAAGAAGAAGAGAAAGAGCTTCTATACAATGGTGTGGAGTGCTATGAAATTTTACTGACACAAGTCTGGGAAGACTGCCTGATCTGTATTTGGAACAATGCTATTTTGTTTAATTTGATATATGTGTGGGCTTTTTATTCAAATAGAGTTGAACAGTTTGTTCCAGTGGGGGAAAAAAGGGCTGCTTGTTACAGAAAGGTTATTTATCGTTCACTATAACACTTGGCATTCTGAAGAAAATTGTAAGGATTCTCCTTTTGGGGGCTGTATGCTGCTATCCTAGCCTCTGTACAAAGAGATAAAGCAAAAGTTGAAGGAAAGATCCTTGGAGGCTGATATGGGGCATTGTTTTAGATGCCCTCAAATGAAGGTGCTTCTCAGCCTTTAAAAATATTCAGCTACCCATTCCATCACTCATTTTTGCAGCTAATTGGACATTTTAAAGTATGAATTCCCACTGCTTCAAAAGATTCAATGCCAACATCAATTAACACCTTCTGGGGGAAAAGTATATAGAAGAAGAGCTAAAAAAATCTTAGCAGTGTAAGCACAATTGAACTTTGCTATCCCAGGCAATATTTTTATTCAACATTGCTCTAAAATGCTCATTTTTACACTGTAATTGCAACTCTTTCTCTTGTTTACTTCCTTGGTCTCAACTCAACTACTGTCCATTCAAACTCAGTTCAACTTTGATTCATTTATAATCAATTTCAGCTTCTACAGATTACCATACCAGTGACTCACACTGTAGGAGAGAAACATATACTATAGAATTCAGATGCTGTAGACTTTTCTAAGATCAATAAAAATGAAAAAAATCAATTATATGGAAAGACTGTAACCACATGTCATTTACTTTTCTTTTCATTCAACAAATATTCGCTAACCATATACAATTTGGGGACACTATGATACACGACTAAATCTTTTTAAAATAACGTTGTCTATTTGAAAACTTAATAGATTATAATGCAAGTAAAGTCAAATTGAAATTCTTCCATATCTTTTCACTGGTGGTCCACTAAACCTGGACAGCCAACTCGCATTTATGAATTATCTTATCCTTGATCATTTTACCATGTCATTCTCCTTTCACAGCTGTCCCCAGCCTTTCTGAAATGTGTTTGTCAGCTAGAGGCCGTATGTGCCACTATGTTTTACCACTTCCACCACCAGACTCGGTGGCCTTCTAGAACTTCAGTAAACATTTATCAGATTGAACAGTACCCTCCCCTTTCCATGTTCATTAAAACATATATGAAATGAGCATGTTCAACCACAACATTTAATACTATGTGATTCAACAAATTAAGGATTAAGAAACAATCACTTCCCCTGGGACCAAAGATCATCAAAGATCACCTAGTGGACAGGGATCAGGAAAAAGTGGAGGTAGACATTTAATTGGACCTTAAAGGATGATGGAAATGCTAGAACTTAAATAAGAAAATATGCATAGGATATTTAGCATAATTCAGCAGAAGTTGTTATTAAAGAGATTTGGGTATTCTTCCAAACTATAATCCTAAATTATAGGAGCTACATAGGATTACTCTAAACATAACCTACAAAGCTGCCCTAATGTCTATTAATTCTCTTCCTGGCTTGCAGACACTGAAAGTACTCAATGAGAGAGGTTTCTAGCAGGAGGAGACATTGAAGCCAGGTCTTATAGGTGGAGAAGAGGAGGAGAATATACCTATAAAAGCATGAACAAGCCGGGCACTGTGGCTCACGCCTGTAATCCCAGCACTTTGGGAGGCTGAGGCTGGCGGATCACTTAAGATCAGGAGTTTGAGACCAGCCTGGCCAACATGGTGAAACCCTGCCTCTACTAAAAATACGAAAGTCAGCTGGGCGTGGTGGTGGGCACCTGTAATCCCAGCTACTAGGGAGGTTGAAGCAGGAGAATCGCTTGAACCTAGGAGGTGGAGGTTGCAGTGAGCCGAGATCGCACCATCGTACTCCAACCTAGGCAACAAGAGCAAAGCTCCGTCTCAAAAAAAAAAAAAAAAAAAAAAAAAAAGCATGAATAAAGTGTGATGGAGAGGAATGTGAAGTCATCTTCCATGAAGAAGGTAAAGATTAGTTAGGTAGAAACAGAAGGACCATTTGTCATAATTAATAATAAAGTGTCATTTATTGAGCACCTATTTTGTGCTAGGCATGATGGTAAGTATTATACATGCTTATCACTATCTTAAAAAAAAAAAACTGTGGGAGTGCAAATGTTTAAGAGGAAACTGAGCCTCCAATAATTACACCATACACCTAATGTCAGGTTAGTGGGTTTGGGATGGTGAGAGAATGGAGGATTTTAAACAGAATGACAAGTAGTTTGAATTTAATTTTACAGGGGAGACACAAAGGAAACAGATTCCAGGAAGCCATGGTACAGAGAGAAAGATTTCACGCCCTGGTTAGAAGGTCCCTGAGGTAGCCTAGGTTAGAGTGAAAAATGCCTGAATGTTGAAGTTCGCTGTGGATTTGAAAAGGAAAAACAAATCTAAGAGGAATGTGAGAGAAGGTATTAAAAAGTACTTGACAACATGGTTTCAGGATGAACAGAATAAAAGAGGATAGGAATAGAAGGTTTATCATGTGTCCATGATGTGAAATTTGTTCATTCTAACTGTAAAATGTATTGGAAGTCTTGTACATTAATGATTATAACAAATTTGACTATTCTTGGGTCAAATATCATTTCTCTTCTCACATCATTAATATTTTCAGTTGTGTGGAAACTACCAATCCTTCCACCCTTCTTTTATCCCAAGAACTTGTAATGAATTATAAGTAAGATCAATAATTATGAACTGCTAAAAGGAAAACAAACTGAATAGATTAATTTGGCAGGAACACATGCTGTATGGCTTTGAAAGCCTGTGGAGTCTTTGAGGGATCTTGGGCCAAAAGGAAGGGCATATGCCAGACAAATGAGACTCTATTCTAAGCATAGTTCACACGGGAGGGCTTAAAAAAACAGACAAAGAAGCCTGGAAAGGAAAACGGAGAAAACAGTGGGGAACATAGAGATACAGAAGGTCAGGGCACATAGAACCTAGGGGAAAGAGAGATGCAATCGATGTGATGAAAGACAGACTTCTGGAATATTTGGAGCAGCACAGAGAAAATGAGCTTAAGAATGCTCCACTACTAGGCTACATGGGAGAACATGGAAAAAGGATTGAATAACTAGAATAAATTGGTGGTCAGAAAATAATGCTGGACTACGGTATTAGCAGTAGTGATCGAATGGCCATAAGCTCCACAATTAAGTGTCTGTCATCTGTGTGTGGAAGTGTCCTTCATACAACAACTCTCATTTTAAGATCTTAAAAAATTTGAACACATTCAGACCATCATTAACTCTCAAAATATACTCAAGGAGTGAGTACTAGAGAGGCAATTACTGTTCATTGTAGCTGTTCTTACTTATATCACAAGTGTTCTTGTATTTCAGGGTACCACCAGGAGTCCAGGTTCCCTTGCTCCTGCTCCAGAGCTTCATTCACCAAATATGAGGTCACTCTCACAGGAAACAAGTCCGTCATCTAAAGCTCCAAAGATCAATGAGGTGGTGCTTATAACATTATTCGAATTCCCAGATCTCCATCCAGGCATGAAAACACATGTTCTCCATAGCTTCAGTGATAATATGTAAAAGATGTACAAAGTCAAGAGAAGATGTGCAAAGTAAGTCACGACAGAAAGAAAGTAACTCTGAAATTACAAGGTCCAGAAATTTTACATTTTCATCTTTATGACACTGAATTATGAGAAGCATGCTTAAAATACAATTAAGCAAAGTTAAATACATGGTAGATTCTACTGTCTTCCCTACAGGGCAGAGTCAGTGAAAGGAACTGATTAAAATGTTAACCCTTCTGATTGATTCAAGAGTTGATGACACTATGTCTACCCAAATGAGTTTGAAAGCACTTGACTAGCCCAATCCATATATTGGATGATAGAACTTGTTTTGTAAGTGACGAAAAGAAAGATTGGTTATTTTACGTAAATCAACATCACTATGGGACTTATCAGGTAAACTCTTCATGGACATACTCTCCTTAGACTAGAACCTTTTCATTTCTCTTTTTTTTCATTCTTTTACTTTTATTTTTCTTTCCTTTTTTTTTTTTCTAGATGAAGAGTGAAGTCATGTATAGATTACAACATAAATTCTTCCCCACACTTGCAATGAGGACATAGGGCCTGTTTTGTAGGAAAAAAAAAAAAGAATTAGTCTCTTTCAATGTGCTTACTTTTTGCAGTAACCAGAACCATGCCCGCATGCCACTGTGCCACAGTCTGCCAAAGGAACTCCAGTATAATTGCCAGTCAGTTCCCCCATAAATAAATCTTCCAAAACAATGAGTCATGCATGTAAATATTGTCCTTGCGGAGCATATTTATTGCGTGTTGATGCTGATTGTTTAAAAAGAGGTTATGGTTCAATAAATTGAACACCTGAGCTGAGCGCTTGTAGGATGAAATTGAGAGACAGGCAGATCAATTTAGACTCACTTCTACTTTTCGATCTGTTTAATAGATTTTTAAAATGACACTTAGAGCCCCATGGAGGCAGCAGCACTTCACATCCTCCCTCAGACACACCTCATCCGGCACTCCCAGGCTCGCTGCACTTGGAAAAGCTGATGATCCTGTGAGCAGAAATTCGCAGAACATGCTCTTGGCCTTCTGCTCTCAGCTGAACCTGGCTCATTTATTCAGCTGGTATTGCGAGTTTGGGGGCATGACAGTACATCTGACCCCTTTGGGGTAAAATTTGATCTGGCATTTCATTTCAAGGGCTCAGCCACTGGTCTGTCAAATCTTCATTTTGCGGGTGCCCACTAGAACTGCTGATGCTTGTCTCTAACTCCCTCGGCTTTCATCTTTCACTGGCAATAAACATGTCACCCTGCTGAGGTGAAACACAATCTGGAATTAAATTTACTGCATATAAAATATAGTGCCCTCTTTATTGGTTCAAATACTTGTCACTCATAATTTATTTGCCCGTGTATGGCCTTCATGCAGGGAGAAAAGTGCTGCAAACAGAGAGGGGCTTTGGTGTTCATTGTTGCTGGGATCTTTTTCACTTTTCATTCATTCCCATCCTTGGTCCTAAAATCCCACTTACTGGCTTGGGCTAATCTGTTTTCCATGAAGCACCTCAAATAAAACTGGAACCCTTTGCCAAAGTGTGGTGAGCATGTCGCTGAGAGCATTGGCGCCGGGCTTGTTGGCTGAGCTACTGCGTGTTTGCTAGGAAGTGGCAACAGCATGGCACCTGGTATGCCCTCCAGTGAGCAAACCCCAAATTCAAACTGGGGAAAAGGGAGGAGGGATTTAGTCCTCGTGAGTTTCAATCTCCCACTTGCCATGCCTTCCCTTCTGGCACTCAACTTTTTCGTGATTTATTCCAAATACTGTCGATCAGCTTTAACTAATACAGTTCTTGTATGAAGCACCTCTCTAATCTCTTCAAACACAGATGTGGAAGCACGGCTTAGAGCATGGAGGCCAACAAAACCCTCTGCCTGTACCAGTGATTAGCTTTGATTGACACAGAACCCTTATGCTCTCCTAGGCATCCTCTCACACCCATAAATGATTGTTCTAAAAATGAGACGCACAGGGTACGATGGGCACCAGCTTCAATAAATTTGCGGTGCAACCATACTAGCAGATAACGCGTAAACCATACAACACTAGATACATGACATTGCCCCCGCCGCCTTCCAATCCTATTTCTTTTTATCACTTTTAGGTCTGTCTCTTTATAGAAAAGGTTTTAGTGAACATTAATTTCTCATTTAGAATTGTTAAAACATGCAAAGATGTATGTTTTATCTTTCCCTTCTGTTTTCAACATTATATGGTCCCAGATATAAACATTTATAGAAACAGAAATGTTGGGACTTCTATGTGTTTTCAACTTGCTTTTAAATATGAGCCCAAAATTTGAATTTAACCCTCCAGTATTATTCAGGATCACCAGAAAGGGGTACATGTCAGTGACACAAATCCAGATTCCCACAGACTATTCAAATTACTTTAAAAACTTATTAATTTCAGTGACATATACTATGTTTTTGCTTTTATTAATTCTGCCATCTTTTCTCATGCTGAGTTGTGAGACCTGAGAAACTTCCCCACTTGTCCTGATTGTTTGGGACTGTATCATAAAGTGACAGTGGGAAAGATATAATCTTCTCCATAGGAAGAATGTCCTTTGCGGGTAGAAGCGCTCTACAGACTCCAGGTAATTCCTGCTGCCTCAAAGGTGGTCCTCGGGGTTTATGTTAAATCTCCAGTGATTCTCCCAGATTGTCTCAGATCTTAAACTTCTGGTGGTAAAGTTTTCCAGAGTTAGAGGATGTCATTACTGTCTTCCCATCCCCAGAAAACAGTCACTTTGACTGGGCATGGATATGAAATGTCTCTCTCTGCCTGCCTTTTCCAAGCAGCAGTGTAAGTGAAGAGAGAGACAGAATAGGAATTCTTGCTCCAACCAGCTATGAAATGCCTAATTCTATTTGCATCTGCACACATATGCAGTTAGATGTTTTATTCATTACTTACACACTTACTTCCAAAAGAAACTTATGAAAAGAAAAAGAAAAAGCATATTAGTTTTTAAGATTTCAAAATAACCTAAGTTAAACATTGATTTTCCAAATGTTTTCTAAAACTTTTTTAAATAAGTTATATATGTAGAAGGAGAATAATTAAAGGAACATATTAATATTTTAGAAAGTATCTCACCTCCTAATGAGTTTTAGGATTATAGAAACAGAGTAGAAAAATAATTTATCTCATTTCATTTTAAGCCTGAGGAAACTGAGAGCCAGATAGTTTAAGTGACTGACCCAAGATTATCCAGTTAGTAAACAGAAGAGTAAATAATAAAATCAGGTTTTTGTCCAACACTATGCTCAGTATCTACTAGTTGCCGGCATACAATAAAGTCTCACTAAATAACTGTTGAATGAAGAAATAAATGCACACCAAGGTCCCCAGACCTTAGAAGTTGAGACTGATCCCAGCTCTACCCTCTCTGGGTGAACGTACCAGTACACACCTAATCAGAGCTGCTTGTACAAGACCTGTGAAAAGTAAGAGCAAAAATTCTGCTCTTTGTAAAAACCTCAGAAAGTACTTTTTTTGTACTTTTTAAACATCAATTAATCCTATCCCAGGGTGAAAGTTATACTCTCTATTCCTTTTAAATTAAGAATTTAATGATTATTTCAAGAAATTCAATGGACTTTGCATTCCAGACAGTGTTTGACAGAGTGATTTTGCTTCTACATGCACTGTTCTACAACAATCCTGCTATATTCTTACTTCCTTCATAGTTGGAGAACATGAGGCTCAGAGAGTAAAAATGACTTCCCAGAATTCACATAAAGTCTAAGGCAAAGCCCAATTTTGAACCAGGCTTGTTAACTCACAATCTAGGGCACTGTGAATGGCACAAGGCTCCTGAAAAGGAATGACATCTCTGTTTTAAAGAACTAGAGGTATAAAGACTAATTACACCAAGTAGGAATTTAATTTCTTAGTTAATTTTTCAACAATTCAATGGATATATTAGCAATTTTTATCATTCTTTAACCATTTGCCAAGTGAGTGTCTGATAACTGTACATTATTATTTGATTTTCTAATGCTTTTGGACATCCTTGGGAGAAAAAAAAACAGAAAAAAGGAAAAATTCAAGCCACTGTGTCATTACCATTTATAAAATTTCGCTAGATATTTTAGAATGTCTGCTTATCACTCACTGTAAGATTATATGCGACCAATAAAATAATCAGTTTTCTACAGCACTTGTCATAATAATTTTCTCTTCAAGTGATAGTACACATTTTTGCTTTTATTTTGGAGTATTTTTGTTGTATTGTATTTGCATTCTTTCGGTTTTATTTATCGTTTTATTGAAATGTAAAATCTACCACATAAGCACCAATAAAATCAAATGTGAAAATACACATCTTTGAGTTTTTGTTATGTGATTGTATCTGAGTATATTATTCCCAATGTAATAAGAACTATCCTATACGTACAAGTCCAAACTTCTATCTGAAGCATAAAATATATTATATTGTAAAATCTATTAAATATGTTCTTTAAAATGGCTATAATATCTCTTGCTATGTACATGAAGTACATTTATGTCCCCTAAACTTTAAAACAGTTTAGATCAGAATAAGAACTAGGGATTTCAGAATGGCCAGCATATGTGTATTGGATAATCTACAGTATTTGTGTGAATAGTATTGCCCTGGGAGGGAAAAAAAAGAGAGAAAAGCAGCTGATTTATGACTAAGCCTTTTAAAATGTCTCAGCATTTAAGGAATTAGAGGAGAAAGAGGGTATCATGATGGAGACAGACCCAAACGTATGAATGGAAATTAAGGGAAGAGAATGTTTTAAGTGAAGGAAGATATCGACAAAGGCAAATGCAACAGTGGAATTCCTCATGACAAGGATTGATAGTCCTTTAATTTGGCAAGAATGAAGTTTAGCTTGAACCTACAAGAGCTTCTCTGTGAAGCAGGGAAGATGGAATTCAGATAGTGGTGAGTTGAGGAATGAACAGAAACTGAAGAAATTGGATAAATACAGATATTTGCTTGGCCGGATAAATATTACATAATACTATAAGTCTTTGCAAATGTGTTTTTAAAAAATGTCTTTCTGTAAATAATAATGTATGTTAATTTGTAGAAAGTTTGGAGGCTATGAGAAAGTGTGAAGAATAAAATTAATCTAAAATCCCATGACTCAGAGAATACTAAAGTTTTGTTCTATTTGCTTCAAGACTTTGTTCTATGCAATTTTTTTGATGTTGAGTTCATTCTACATATACAGCTCTGTATTCCTTTCCACTTGTCACTATTTTGTACATTTATCAATGACTGTTTTAGAATGCATAAATTTAGTGTATTTTTTTAGCTTCATGAGAAAAAATCCTCTAGTGAGGAATCATTGAAGGGACAAGTAAAAGAGATAAACCACTGGATTGATGTCCTACAGGTGATGAAAGAAAATTGATCAGGAACATGGAAGAAGGAAATAAGAAATGCACCAACAGGGATACATTTGTGAAGGGGAGTCAGAGGCTGAGTGAATTTGCACACGTTTTAAATGGCTAAGAATTGAACCACCCGTATTTAACTAAGTATCTTGACTATCAGGAAGTAAACACATTGTCAGCTTGAACACAGTGCCAACTTGAAACTGAAAACCAGGAAATTATAATGTCAGTAATCTGCATGGTAGTGGTTTTCCCTCCAGCTGCTCTCAGAACTATGTTTTTTCAACATATAATGGTTCTGGGCAATTTCTTTACCTTTCTCCCTACTTACGTATCAAATATATTTTCCTTACCCCCCTTTAGTAACTCTGCTGAAGCAAATCTAAAATTGATCATAGAGAGCAGGAACTATTTTGTGCCTAAAATCAGCCTCACAATATATGTGAGATTAATCTTATTTTGGGATCTCCCCAAAAGACTGTATCTGTTTCATCTCATAACATCTTTGTAGCAGGTATGCTGTTTCAGAAAGGGGCTTATTTTCTTTATATTTTCTTTACAGCAAAGGTAAAAATTATATTTATACAACTTTGAGGTTAAAAATCTATTCATTTATTTATAATTAGTTCTAGTCTAATAAAGCAGGATTGAGGATTGTAAAGAATGTTTTTCCCAAAGCTTTTCTATTTAACTTGAGCACCACTCAATCATAATTTCTTGTCTTTTCTCATTGCCTTGTTTTCTTATGCAAGTGTTAAAACTCTCCATCAGTCTTCATGAGAAACAGTTTTCTTTCTTTCTTTCTTTCTTTCTTTCTTTCTTTCTTTCTTTCTTTCTTTCTCTCTTTCTTTTTCTTTCCTTCTTTCTTTCTTTCTTTCTTCTTCTCTCTCTCTCTCTTTCTTTCTTTCTTGGCAGCATTCTGTCAATGTTTTAAAGTTCTCAGATTCAGGCTGCTTAACACAGTTAGGGTATGTCTGATTCTAAAAGCAGGTACCAGCCCCAGAAGATAAGTCTTTTTCAGTGGCTAGTCATACTGTTTAATAAAAGATGATGCATTATGTCAGGAATTGATATGGTTAGGATACCAAATTTGTACCAGAATATGAGCTTTCCATCATTTAAGTTTACCAATATCCCAAGGAAGAGTTGAGATGATTACAAACATCTTCACTGTATTTGCAGCCAATATATAGTAGATGGTACTGTATAGACAGTTTATATTTAGGGGCATTTGCATTTTCATCTATAATGTAGAAAACTGGATGTGTAGTCCATATCTAGATTCTTCAAATGGCAGACCATAATCATCCTTTTTCAGCCTTTATAATATCTGTTGTCAGGCTCTTCTGAGAGACTTCTAATAGGGTCTTGGCAAAATGCCGCAGGCAAACGCTTCCACTGCAGCTGATTCATAAATGCCTTTGGGGTTGTATTACAAATCCAGCAACCCCTGAGGTTTGATGGGAAGGTCTGCCAAGGTTCAACTGGGATTGCCTATTAGCCCACTGAACTCCCCTGAGCCCTAGAGACTCAAGAGTGGGTTTGATCCAAGCAACTTGGTGAGGAGAGATTCATTGTCACTGCTGGGAAGGTAGGTTATGCACATTTCAACCTAGGAAGGCTGATTTGAGCCAAACACTGTCACATCCACTTCTTTCTGCCTGTTGATATAGTACAAAAGGCTACAATCGAAATTTAAGTGATAAAAGTCATTAAAGGAAACAATGGCTTTTGATGTGATCTTATTTCTTTCTTCATATGTAAAAAAGATGTCCATGATTGACATAGAATGAATACTTGATTTCCTTTTTCCCATTATTCCTCAGATTGAGAGAGAGAGGGAGTGTGTAAGGTTCACATGTGAAGGGGTGATGCCTATTTTGTTCACTATTGTGTTCATAAAGATTAGAGCAGGGAATAAATGATAATGATTGTGGAATGAATGGTTATATTAGTGACTGCCTAGAAAGAGAAATAGATTAAAGGTGTAGGCCTTTGGACAGTTGCTCATGTTGCCAATCTATGTGGGCGCTAACACATTACCAAGATGATATGAATCAAATTTAATGATCAGAAGTTTTCTCAAGTGCAGGAATAAATGTAGTCAATGTGGTGAAGGATAGGATGCCCCCTTCTAAAGAGGCAAGCTCAAAGAACAGCAAAAGGCCATCAAGGATGTGGATTGGGATACCTGCAGGGAAACATTCTGGCATGGAATATGAAATATGGGACAAGAGAAGAATTACTCTGGACAATGGTGGAGTGGTTGGACCCTTTCTCCAGGTGTCCTGCTTCATCACCCTCTCTGTGCAAAGCTAACTCTCTGTGTAAGCACATAAGAAGAGGAGCTCATGTGGAGAGGTAAGAAATAACATTTTTATGCTTATAGTGATAAAGAGGAGAAACTGTTAGCTCTAGTTTCTTTGTGTACAGCATTGCATTCTGCCCTAATAGTTCTATTTTTCAAACAAGGTTAATACACACTTCTATTTTCCTTTCTACTTGCAAGATTTCCTTTTAGTGGAATCATATTTGTCCCCAGCTTCTTAGAACACTTTTAATTCTCTCACAGTCTTCCTCCCACTTGCCACCTCCTGATTTTTGTTTGTCTTCACATAACTGTTTCTTAACTTCTCTTAAGTCCACTAGCCACAATTTACTAAAGACCTAAGAAAAATTACTTAACCTTTTTATTTAGCCTCAGTTTTCTCAACTGTAACATTAGATTAATAATAGCCCATTTGCAAGGTTGTGCTGATAATACAATAATGTTTTTAAAAATCTTAAGTAAGATATCAGCAAAATGGTGAAATAAGGAGTTGCCCCCTTTAAATATCCAAAGCAGCAATAATTTGGCAGCTATCCATAAACAAAAGTGCACTGGCAGGAGCTACTCTTGTATGCACCCTGAGACAGACCCATTGAAATTAGTTTGGCTGGACATCTTAACACTCCCCTGTGATTCAGATTCATCGTCTCTCAACCACAGTGTGGGGTCAGTCATGCCTATCCAGTGAACTAATGGGAGTCCTTCTCAGGACTTAATAGGAGCCACACCCATGTATGCATCTGGTAACAGGCCTGGCATCTGCACACCCAACTGCAGACCCTGCTCCAGCATCAGCTGTACTGACCAAGGTCCTGAAAGCAGTGCCATCTCTTGAGAGACCAGGTAGGATCCATGACTTTCAAACTTCTGGTAATAGGCCTGCCAATTGTAGACTCTACTGAAGACCTAGGAGCAACCATGTGATCCAGCTATATGTGCACTCTACTGCTATCATAGAGGTCAATCTCATTAGCCCACAGGGCCAACAGGGGAAGTTATTTATCATCCAAAACCAATCTATGAAGACTTCAAGGGATGTTTACCTTCTTCAAACGCACATACACTAACACAAAACTACACAGGTTATGAAGAATCAAGCAAATATGTCACTCCCAAAGGAAACTTATAAAACTCCAATAATCAACCCCCCAAAAATAAAAATCTAAGGATTACCTAATGAATAGTTCAAAACAGTCAACTCAAAGAAGCTCAGTGAGACACAAGAGCATATGGATCAACAACTAAACAAGACTGGGTAAATAATAGATGAATGAAGTGAGAAGGTTAATAGGAAAAAAATAGAAAACATAAAAAATGAAACAGAAATCCTAGAGCTGAAGAATACAATAACAGAAACAGAATATTCAATAGAAAGCTTCAACAGCAGATTTGAGCATGCAGAGCAAAGTATCAATGAGAAGGCAGGTCATTTGAAATTAGTAGGTTAGAGGAACAGAAAGAATGAAAAAATGTGAAGAAAGTGTATGAGACCTATGGGATACTATCAAATGAACAAATATATATATTATGGGGGTCTCAGAAAGATAAGAAAAAAAGGAGGGCAGAAAGCTTATTTCAAGTAATAATGGCTGAAAATGTTCCAAATTTAGGGAGGGATTTATGAACCACAAACATCCTCAAGTAAGATCCATTCAGAGAAGATAATCCTAAGACACATTATAATGAAATTGTCAATATTCAAAGACAAGGCAAATTTTGGAAGCAGCAAAAGAAAAAAGACTCGACACCTACAAGTAAGCCTTTGTAAGATTATCTGATTTCACAGTAGAAACCTTGTAGGCCATGAGGAAATATAATGATATATTAAAAGTACCAGGGAAAAAAAGAACTGCCAAATAAGCTGGCTATAGTATTATTTTGTATTGAGAGAGATTATCACCACTCTATCTATTTTACCAGAAATGTTAAATGGAGTTGTTTAAGCTGAAATAAAAGGATGCTAAGTAACAACATAAAAATATAAGACTCACCAGTAAAGGTAAATGTATATCCAAATTCAGAATGCTTTAATGCCATAATTGTGGTGTATAAATAATTTTTAACACTAATACAAAATGTAGAATAAAAAGTATTAATAATAACTAGTACAATAATTGGTTAATGGGCACAAAATACAAAATGATATAAAATGTGACATCAATAGCATAAAATGTTGGGGAGGGTAGAGGTAAAGTGTATGGTTTTTTGTAAGCATCAAAAGTTACATAGTTACTGGCTTAAAATAGACCATTATAACTATATGATACTTTATGTATATACACAAAAGATAAAGAGAAGAAACTCAAAGCACACAATTAAAAATAATCAACAAATCAAAAAGGAAGACGTGAGAGAGGATAAAAGAAGCAAAATAACTACAAAACAATCAGAAACAATTAACAAAGTCACAATAGTAAGTTCTTACATATCAATAATTGCTTTAATATAAATGAATTATTTTCTCCAATCAAACAGCAGAGTGGTTGAATGGATTAAAAATGAAAACAAGGTCCAACAATATGCTGCCCACAAGAAACTCACTTTAAGAACACATATAGATTGAAAGCAAAAGGATGTAAAAAAGATATTCCATGCAAATAGCAATGAAAAGGGAGCAGGGGTGACTATATGTATATAATACAAAATAGAATTTCAAGGCCAGGCATGGTGGCTCATGCCTGTAATCCCAGCACTTTGGGAGGCCAAGGCAGGTGGATCATCTGAGGTCAGGAGTTCAAGACCAGCCTGACCAACATGGCAAAACCCCATCTCTACTAAAAATACAAAATTAGCTGGGCATGGTGGCACATGCCTGTAATCCCAGCTACTTGGGTGGCTGAGGCAGGAGAATCACTTGAACCCCTGAGGTGGAGGTTACAGTGAGCCGAGATCATGCCATTGCATTCCAGCGTGGGAAACAAGAGCGAAACTCTGTCTCAAAAAAAAAAAAAAAGAATTCCAGTCAAAACCTATTGCAAAAACAAATGGGGTCACTATATAACGATAAAGAGATCAATTCATCTAAAGGTGTAACAACTGTAAATATATAGGTACCCAACATTGCAGAATATAAACATAATAAAGCAAATACTAATAAAACTGAAGGGAGAAACAGAAAGCAATACAACAATAGTAAGGGACTTCAATAATTCCCTTTAACATTGGATAGATTATCCAGATAGAAAGCCAATAAACATACAGTGGACATAAATAACACTTGTAGACCAAATAGACCTAATAGATAAATACAGAATGTGCTGTCAGACAGCAGAAAAATGCACATTCTTGTCAAGTGTACAAAGAACATTCTTCAGGATAGATCACGTGTTAGTCCACAAAATAAGTCTTACCAAATTAAAAACATTGAAATAATATTAAGCATCATTTCCTACCTCAATGGCATAAAACTAGAAATCAATAACAGGAGGAAAACTGGAAAATTTACAAATATGTGGAAATTGAACAACATACTCCTGAACAATCAATGAGTTACATAAGAAATTAGGAAACAATCTAAAAAGATCTTGAGACAAACAAAAATAGAAACACAACCTATGCAAATTCATGAGATGCAGCAAATGCAGCTCTAAAAGGAAAGTTTATAAAAATAAATGCTTACCTTAAAAAACTCAAATAAGCAACCTAATTTTATAATCCAAGAAACTAAAATATGTAGAACAAATTAAGTCCAAAGTTAGCAAAAGAAAGAAAATAATAAACAATGGAATGGAAATAAATGAAATAGAGACTGGAGTGACAATTGAAAAGATCAGTGAAACTAAGAGTTGCCTTTTTAAAAACATAAACAAAATTGACAAATCTTCAAACCAAGAGATAAGGTTAAAATACAAAAAATTATAAATGAAAGAGTAGATATTAAATATGATATCACAGAAATACAAAAGATCATAAGAAACTAGTGTGAAACACACATATGCCAACACATTGAATAACTTAGAAGAAATAGAAAAACTGCTGGAATCATATAACCTGCCAATACTGAATAGAGAAATAAAAAATCTAAAAAGATCAATAATGAGTAACATAATTGAAGCAATAGTCAAAGAGCTCCAACAACAACAAAAAGACTACAACCAGATGGCTTCACCAGTGAATCTTAGCAAACATTTAAAGATGAATTAATTCCAATCCTTCTCAGACTCTTTCAAAAATTTGAAGAGTAGAATATACTTCTAAACTCATTTTAAGGCCAATATTACCTCAAACCAAAGCTAAATAAGGACATTACAAGAAAAGAAAATCATAGATTAATATCATTATGAACATATATGTGAAAATTCTGAACAAAATAATAGCAAACCAAATTCAATGACACATGTAAAGGATCATACACCATGATCAAGTGGGATTTATCCCTCAGATTAAGGATGATTCTATATATAAAAATCAATAAACATAATACATTGTGCTAACAGAATGAAGGATAAAAATCATATGGTCATCTCAATAGATACAGAAAAAGCATTTGACAAAGTTTAACACTTCTTAATGGTAAAAACTCTTAACAAGACTATAGAAAAAATGTCCCTCAACATAATAAAGGCCATATACGACAAGCCCATAATTAACAACACAGTCTGAAAAGACAAAGTTGTTTCCTCTCATGACTTCCATTCAGTATAGTTCTGGAAGTGCTAGCTAGATAATTAAGCTAAAAAATAAAAAATAAAAAGCATCTACATTGGAAAGGAAAAAGTTAAATAGTCTCTACTTGCAAATTACATTTTCTTATATATAGAAAATCCTAAATATACCACCAAAAAACCTATTAGAACTAATAAGCAAATTCAGTAAAAATGCAGAATACAAAAACAATATAGAAAAATTATTTGTATTTCTATACACTAGAAAGAAACTGTTGCAAAAAAAGAATAACAATTTAATTTACAGTAGCATCAACAAGAATAAAATATGTAAAATAAACTGAGGTGAAAAATCTGTACACTGAAAACTCTAAGATATTGATGAAAAAATTGAAGAAGACACAAATCAATCAGAGGATATCCCTTGTTCATTCACTGGAAGAATTAATATTGTTAAAATTTCTATACTAACCAAAGAGATCTATAGATTCAAAGAAATTCCTATAGAAATTCCAATGACATTTCTCACAGACATAGAAAAAATAATCTTGAAATTCATGTGGAACAACAAAAGACCCTGAATAGCAAAGCAATCTAGCAAGAAGAACAAATCTAGAGGTATTACACTTGCTGATTTCCAACTGTATTACATAGATATAGTAATCAAAACAGTATGGTGTTGGCATAAAAATGGACACATAGACCAATGGAATAGAATAGAAAGCCCAGAAAAAAAGCCATATATATCCTGTTGACTAATCTTTATCAAGGGTACCAATAATACACATAGAAGAAAAGATAGTCTCTTCAATAAGTTGTGTAGGATAACTGTATATCCACATGCAAAAATAAAAATAAAATTGGATCCTTATTTTACACCCTACCCAAGAAATGTATTCAAAAGTTAAATGTAAGACCTGAAACTGCAAAACTCCTAGAAACAACAACAGGGAAAAAGCTCCTTGATGTTTGTCTTCACAATGTTGTTTTGGATATGACACCAAAGGCACAGACAAGTAAAAACAAAAATACGTAAGTGGGACTACATCAAACTAAAAAGCTCTGCACAGCAAAGGAAGCAATGAACAAAATGAAAAAGCAATCTACAGAATGGGAGAAAATATTTGTAAACCATATATCTGATAAAGAGTTAATGTTCAAAATATATAAGGAACTCATATAATTCAATAACAGAAAATTAAAAATAGCCTAAGTAAAAAAGAGCAAAGGACTTGAATAGACCCTTTCCCAATTAAGACATAAAAATGACAAATAGGTATATGAAAAGGTGCTCAACATTACTAATCATCAGGGAAATGCAAATCAAAACCACAACAAGATGCACCACCTTATACCTGTTATGATTGCTATTATTAAAAAGACAGGAGCTAAGTCTCGATGAGGGTGTGTAGGAAAGCGAAACTTGTACACTGCTGGTGGCAATGTAAATTGATACAGCCATTATGGAAAACATTATGGAGGTTCCTGAAATAATTAAAAATAGAACCACCATACAAAGCAATCCCACTTCTTTGTATATATCCAAAGGAAATGAAGTCAGTAAATCTAACAGCTATATGCACTCCCATGCTTACTGCAGCATTACTCACAATAACTTAAGTGTCCATCGATGGATAAATGGATAAAGAAACACAAAATAAATATACATTTACATAAATTATGAATTTTACATGAAGTATGTATAACGTTATATATGAAATATGTAATATATATGCACATACACAATAGAATATAATTCTAATGTAAAAAACAAGGAAATCCTGTCATTTGCAACAATATTGATGAAATGTACCTAGAAGATGTTTTGGTATGTGAAATAAGCCAGATACTGGAAGACAAATATTGCATGATTTCACTTACATGTGGATTCTGAAAGAGTCAGACTCATAGAAGAAGATAGTAGAATGATTGTTGCTTGGGGAAGATGGAGAGATTTTTGTCAAAGGGTACAAATTTTCACTTATAAAATGATTAAGTTCTGGGGACCTAACATAGTGTATAGTGAGTATATTTAACAATACCATATTGAATACTTGAAATTTGCTTAGAGAGTAGATCTTAAGAGTTCTCACCATACACACACACAAAAGATGGTAACTATGTAAGGTGATGGATGTGTTAATTAGCTTGGTTGTGATAATAGTTTGACAGCTTATTATATCTATCATATCATTTCTATACCTTGAATAGATGCAATTTTTATTTTTAATTATACTTTCAATAAATCTGGGGGGGAAGAAAAGAAAAATAGTATAGTTCCCGGTTCCTCTTAGGTGCTCTGTAAATGGCAGTTGGAGATAATGAGGAGGAGGTGAAACTGACCCCACTGTCCCATAGAGCTGATGTTTATGGTTTCTTTGAATAAACATAGAAATTGATCCACCCAGTCTTAAAACTTGAGAAAGTTACATTTTTCTTATCTGAGTTTCGTTCTCAGGAAACCAGCAATCAATCCTCCCAGATAGTATCAAGGATCTGAAACTCACCAGATCACTGCATTTGACCAGTGAGACATCAGACCTCCTCATCCATCATGATTGCCTAACTAACCACTTGCTTCCTTTTGACCAACTCTTCTTCCTTACTCCTCCCTAATTCCTGTTTTCCTACATGTGGTTACATTTCTTCCCTGCTATATAAACCACTAATTTTAGTTGGTCAGGGAGATGGATTTGAGACTGACCTGTCATCTCCTCAGCTGCAGCACCAAATTAAAGCCTTCTTCCTTGGCAATACTCATCATCTCCGTGATTGGCTTTCTGTGCGGTGAGCAGCAGGGACTAGACTGAAACCCTGGTGTTTCAGTAATGGAAGAAGAGGAAGAAAATGAAGAAGGTGAGATGTGAATATAATGTAATGAATTTGCATTCACAAGATTCATAAGTGATACAGGCAACATAACAATCTAGACACTTTGCAACCAGCCTGGGTATGTGCTTGGTGTAATGAGCATGTGACATGTTGGTTAGCTTTTGGCAAAGCTATGCAAGAGGATGAGAAGCCATTCTTTAGGGAGGGAGCTATAAAGCTCATCTGGCAGCCCTGCCTAGGGCCATATCATTCCCTGAGACTTCTAGAACGCCAGAGTATCTAGGAGAACTGTTTTTAAAACATTGCTCCTTTTTGCTGCCTGAAAATCTTTTTTACTTATTTTATTTTATTTATTTGTTTTTGCTGTTGGGAAGAAATGATGTATAAAAAATAAAACTTGGATTGATTCAAAAAATCTTTGCTCTGCACACAGTGTTGTATTCTTTTGTGTGGGGGTGCAATTGGAGGACATTGATTAAATTTTACAATTTCATTAAAAACATGCCATCCATTTTTACAAAAAAAGAAATAAATCTTTAAAAGAGATGATTGCTTAATTAATCATAGGATAAAGAAAGATTGATGCTAAGAGCTGTTTTATGGATTAAGAAAAGTAGAGCAGGGACCTGCTGGCTCCAAAATCTAAAGTTATTTAGTTTCAAATGAAGCATTTATCCACATAAACTAATTATCTCTTTCAGTTATATTCCATTGCATCTAGGTGAACTGGTTCAATTTACCATAACCATTGAATAAGGTAAGTTACTACTGTTTAAAAGCCCCACACTTCTTAGCTGTTAACTCAACTCTCCTCTTGGATGAAATTATACTTTCACTTTGCATAGTGCCCAAGGGACTTAGTCAGCCCACCCTCTGTGTGCTAAACTGACACTAGGAGCTTTTCCTCTTTTTGTAAATGATGAAAATTGAGACACAAACAAACATAGCATATCCTTTAACTAAAATCATGCAATCATTTATGGTAGTAAGGGGAAAATATATTTTGGTCCATGAGCTCTGTGGTCCTTAACCTGGGATCTATGGTATCCTGGAAAATTCATGGATAGTATTTTGGTAACTTGAGTTTAGAAATATTAAGTGGTTATGTGTATAGGCATATGGGGAGGAGAAGGGCCACAACTCTCACCAAATCTTCCAGCAGTCTATGATATCTAAAAGGTTAAGAGCCAAAAGTAAACTCTCCAAGGGCTGGTCTATTGGAATAGGGTATCCTTCTAATCTCAAGAATATATGTAATGTATATGGCCACAGTTAGAAATATCTTCAGGGGTTCTGACACCAGTATTGACAAAAGAGATGGATTTGATACTTGGTTCCTCGAGTTCAGCTTTGTGGCTATTGTTAATAAGATGCACATGAAGCTATTTCTTCTTCATAGATGAACAAGGTCTAGGACTACTGAACCACCAAAATTAATGCTTCTGCCAAGAAATATATACATTTAAAATTCTGTGGCTTAGCACCACTTATTTTGTAATGTTAATATAAGCAATAATTTGAATAAACACTGCTGGATTTTATACAATGGGCCAAGATGTAAGTGACAAAAAGAAATGTAAGGTATACTACTTTACTGTTCATGTTGTACACTTGGGCTACAGACAAGCACATCGAAGGTTAAATAACAATATCTATTTTATACAACAATGTGCAACAAAAATATTGTACCATTAATTGATAAATGAGTTGGATTCTGAAAAATTTAGAAGCCAGAAAGAAGCAGAGGATTCTAATTAATGCAGGGACTGAAAAATGAAAATTTCTTGGAAAAAGAAGAGCAACTGAAAGTGATCCTGCCTTTTACAGAGTGAAATGGGAAGTCATTGAAGGGTTCTGAGCAGAAGAGTGAAATGATTTAACATACATTCTAATAGGATCACAGTGACTGCTTTGATAAGATTAGGCTGAAAAAGGACAAGAACCTGTGCAGGAAGACCAGCTAGTGGGCCATAACAAACCAGCAAAAGATGATGGTAGCTTGAATCACACTGGTAAATTCGACTGTAGTCATGTTTTGAAGAGAGTGTAGGCAAAATTTGCTTATTAACTCTGACATGGGATATGAGACACCAAAAATGATTCCAAGGTTTTGCCTTGTCCAACCAGAAACAGGGAGTGGCTCTATCTTGATAAGGGGAAGACTCCAAGAACGGACATTTTGGAGAAGATTAGGAGTGTATTTTAGGACATGTTAAGTCTGAGATGTGTATTAGACATCTAGTAGATGAATATATGACTAGAAGTCTGAGACAAGAGGTGTAATTTTGAGAATGGTCAGTTTAGAGATAGTATTTAAAAGGATAAAAGGCTAGAGAAAAATCACCTGGGGAGAAAAGATAAAAGGAAGGAAGAGAAGGAAAGTGAATCAGCTACAAATATTTTACTATGATTGGAAGTTGAAGTGTGTACACAACACATTAGAAGGTGAAACTACAGAGCTAAGTAGAGGCTAGATCACAAAGGACCTCAAATGCTGTATTCCAGTAATCCTGGGAAGCTGCTGTAGAATTCTAAAGGGGAAAGTAACATGACCCAGTATGAATTTTAGAAACTGGCAACAGTGTAGAGACTGATGTAGAGGAGGGCAGCCCTGACAGGAAGGAGTGCAGAGGAAAGCTATGGCAAAAGTCCACAAGAGAGATAACGAGGATGTGGAGTACGTCACCAGCAAAGGGGATAAACAAAATTGAGCGAAGTTTACAAAGTGCACTGGAAGAGCTTAATAACCATTTGATTGAGTGGAACCCTTAGGAAGAGTGAGAGAGAGGAAACAAGATAATTCACATATTTATTTCTTGGATAACCAACTGGAGAACAGAATCATTAACTAAAATGACAATAAAAACAGGGTGGGAGACAGGGACAATGGGAGCAAGGGGGACAGATAGTTTGAACAAGTTGAGTTGGAAATGCCTGTGATAGATTTCAGTAATGATGCCATCAGTATGCTAAGCATATGGATCTGGAATTCTAAACAAAAATCTTGGCTAAAGGTAAAGTTGGTCATCAGCAAACAGATTGAAATGAGAAAGGAAGAGCACAAGAGTGAAAAACCATTCACAATTGCTTCAAAGAGAATGAAATACCTAGGAATCCAACTTACAAGGGATGTGAAGGACCTCTTCAAGGAGAACTACAAACCACTGCTCAACAAAATAAAAGAGGACACAAACAAATGGAAGAACATTCCATGCTCATGGATAGGAAGAATCAATATTGTGAAAATGGCCATAATGCCCAAGGTAATTTATAGATTCAATGCCATCCCCATCAAGCTACCAATGACTTTCTTCACAGAATTGGAAAAAACTACTTTAAAGTTCATATGGAACCAAAAAAGAGCCCGCATTGCCAAGTCAATCCTAAGCCAAAAGAACAAAGCTGGAGGCATCACGCTACCTGACTTCAAACTATACTACAAGGCTACAGTAACCAAAACAGCATGGTACTGGTACCAAAACAGAGATATAGACCAATGGAACGGAACAGAGCCCTCAGAAATAATACCACACATCTACAACTGTCTGATCTTTGACAAACCTGACAAAAACAAGAAATGGGAAAAGGATTCCCTACCTAACAAATAGTGCTGGGAAAACTGGCTAGCCATACGTAGAAAGCTGAAACTGGATCCCTTCTTTACACCTTATACAAAAATCAATTCAAGATGGATTAAAGACTTAAATGTTAGACCTAAAACCATAAAAACCCTAGAAGAAAACCTAAGCAATACCATTCAGGACATAGGCACGGGCAAGGACTTCATGTGTAAAACACCAAAAGCATTGGCAACAAAAGCCAAAATTGCAAATGGGATCTAATTAAACTAAAGAGCTTCTGCACAGCAAAAGAAACTACCATCAGAGTGAACAGGCAACCTACAGAATGGGAGAAAATTTTTGCAATCTACTCATCTGACAACAGGCTAATATCCACAGTCTACAGAGAACTCAAACAAATTTACAAGGAAAAAACAAACAACCCCATCAAAAAGTGGGCAAAGGATATGAACAGACACTTCTGAGAAGACATTTATGCAGCCAACAGACGCAGAAAAAATGCTCATCATCACTGGCCATCCGAGAAAGGCAAATCAAAACCACAATGAGATATCATCTCACACCAGTTAGAATGGCAATCATTAAAAAGTCAGGAAAAAACAGGTGCTGGAGAGGATGCGGAGAAATAGGAACACTTTTACACTGCTGGTGGGACTGTAAACTAGTTCAGCCATTGTGGAAGTCAGTGTGGCAATTCCTCAGGGATCTACAATTAGAAATACCATTTGACCCAGCCATCGCATTACTGGGTATATACCCAAAGGAATATAAATCATGCTGCTATAAAGACACATGCACACGTATGTTTACTGTGGCACTACTCACAGTAGCAAAGACTTGGAACCAACCCAAATGTCCAACAATGATAGAGTGGATTAAGAAAATGTGGCACATATACACCATGGAATACCATGCTGCCTTAAAAAAATGATGAGTTCATGTCGTTTGTAGGGACGTGGATGAAGCTGGAAACCATCATTCTCAGCAAACTATCACAAGGACAAAAAACTAAACACCGCATGTTCTCACTCATAGGTGGGATTTGAACAATGAGAACACTTGGACACAGGAAGGGGAACATCACACACCGGGGACTGTTGTGGGGTGGGGGGAAGGGGGAGGGATAGCATTAGGAGATATACCTAATGTAAATGACGAGTTAATGGATGCAGCACACCAACATGGCACATGTATACATATGTAACAAACCTGCACATTATGCACATGTACTCTAGAACTTAAAGTATAATATATATATATATATATATATATATATATATATAAATTTAAAAAGAAAAAAAGAAAAACCAGGAAACACCAGCATCTGGAGGTATCTACAGGAAGGCAGAAAGAGGATGTGAAGGGGGTTCAGATGGAGTTTGTCACAATGAGATTTTTGAGAGCACAGAATTTCCAGAAAAAAAGGATGATCCACAATGTTCAGTGCTTCATAAAGACCAGGAGGCTGTGGCCCACATAATGTCGGTTCAATTTGGCCTTTAAGAAATCTCAGCTATATCAGTGGGGTGGTGGGAGTGATAGAAAAGTTGCAAGGTTTTAAAAAATATATAGATACCAAAGAAAGTATGGGTATAAAGTGTACACAAATACTTTGAGACATTAAAATGAGAAAGGGAAGCTAGGGTGAAGTGAGGGGATCAAAAGAGAAGGAAGAGTGTCGGCTCCTCTGCTGCATTTATACATCACCTTTGTCTGAATAAAGATAGGCTATTTATATTAACAGAGGGTTTAACTCACACACATGCCAGTCAGTGAAGATCTGTTCCAGGGCCTGCCAGGTTCACTCCCAATCCTGTGAGTCAGATGACTTTCAATTATGTGCTGCTACAATTATGGGAGAAAAAAGAAGAGAGAAATGTATAGCAATATTTTCCAAATATATACAAGAACACCCTTCAATTTGCCCAAAACTCTACCCATCAGCAAATTTTTATCAAGCATCTCTATGAGCTACGTTCCATGCTAAGCACTATTTTTCAAGTTAGCAACAGGATGTTTTTGCTGAAGTACTGAGTCCCAAATGTATCATGATTGCAATTCTCTTTCCTACATCTATTGTTCTGTTCTCTTTTATTGTTTTGGTAAGTAGTTAGGAGCAAGAAAAGATGTGCTAGAGAAAACAGAGTCCTATGTATCTGCATGAATGTATATGCATTGTGACCTCAACACGGCTCTGTCCTGGGGACATGTGTTAAGACGGCATTACAAATAAGGCTATGGTGTTTCTGGTTGATCAGTAATTAAGCCTTCTGCTACAAGAATCAAAATGAATCTATTCATGATCATTCCCACACTCATAGCCAGGTCTAGGGTTTCTGTCCTGTGCTGTAAAAGACTTTGGTATACTAATTTGTGTGTGGATAACAAGGCAGAAATGAAGAGTTCTCTTCTTATCAAGTTTTATCACATGCAAACATGTTATGGAAACTTGGAAGAAGTTGCCTCACTTTTTGAGACCTTGTTTTCTTCACAACACTTTACTTAGTATTTTACTTCTATTAGGCTGTATTTATCCATTCCTGATTATAGTTTACTTCAAAATTATAAATTAGTAGGTGTGCCCTTTCATCAGTCTATGAACTGTTCCTAGGAAGCTTTTATTCAAAGAAAATCTTTTCCTTCAGAAATTATATTAAAGCAGCAGCAGTACTTTGGCAGGAAAAAAATAATCTAGTATCACAATGGAATATTTGGAGACAACTGTAATAATGTTTTAACCTCAGAACTTTCAACAAATTTTATAGATATTTTATAGTAGAAATAATAAAGGCATTGATGCATTGATCCTGTAAATTAGACCAAGTGCATGTGGCATTGTTTTGGCACAGAAAGCTGTGTGGTTTCCTCTATCAACTAGCGTGAAAAATGAAGAAAAGGTATACAAAAGGAAGTCGAGCTGCTCAGGGCCATGCTGATAGTTTACTATTGCTGTTCCTTGGATCCTTTAAATCGTTTCTATAACAGATAGTTTTGAACTCTTATTTTTAGCATTAGCTGCCAAATTCTGCAAGCCCTATAATGTTCTGCTCCCTAATTAGTTTGGAAGCTTGTAATTGTTTAAGTTTAAGCCAGCCTCTAAAGTCTGCCAACTCATTTGAGCAGGATTGAGCAAAAAAAGTTGAAGAAATGGCTACATATTATTACTTGCTCATTTATTTAATTTTGTCTTTTGATCAAATCATATAACTCTAATACCCCCCAAAACATTCACAGCACAGAAGGGGCTTCTTTTAAAACAGCTAGGAGCTGGCTTTACTTCTTTGGACACAGCGATTTCATGTCTGAGCGATCCTGTTGATGTTTAGAAATTGAGCAGAGACTCCCTGGCATGACCAAGGGACATCAAAATACTTTGGATAAAATCTGTAAGGTCCATGATTTTTAAAATGTATCATAAGAAAGCCATTATATGTTATTAACGGGATTTGGCATGCGAGCAGCTCTACTTGCAGTTTGGGAGCATTTTTGTATGTGTTTAACAGAAATCTGGGAAAGTAAGAAGTATGTGTGCACCAGAACAGTTAGCACTGTGTTCAGAATTTGTCAGTGTGCTCAAGAGTTTATTAGGTAATAAGATCCTACGCACGTTTCCACTTGCAATATGAAAAATGTCGGGACTGATCACGTTTCATTAATTGTCTGTGTGCATTCTCTGTATAATGTGGCTGTTTGACTGTTGTTTCCCCTACTCTAATCAGTTGTTTTTACTATGAGTACAAAGAGGGAGGATGTATTCAAGACCACTGAAGAATCACATAGGAAATGGCTTATATTGGCTACAGCTACCACTTCCTGAAGGAATCATGATGCTGTTTATTTCTGAAAGTTTTTTCACCAGCTCCACCTGAATGCATGTATTTAGAGATTTTATATGATTTTACAGCAAAGTGCTCAACATTTTATTGCATCATCACAATTTCTACTTTTCTCTGTAGCAGCTATCTGTCACATGGGTGCTTTTGGGAAGATACAAAAGTAGGTTCCAAATGATTCTGTGCTGGACAGAGGATTATGTGCTTTTGTCAAGTTCTTCTCATTCTTTTACCGAAAAGTATTGACTATAAATTTAGGAACTATATTTCCTTACAAGGATTATGTAAACTTTAACCTTTCGTAGTTATTATTGCTTGCTGCAAAGTAAGGACCAACACACACACACACACACAACTTTGCAAGGTGTTTGTTGATTGCTTCATAATCATCACTTGCAAGCTGTGTTTCAGCAGCTAACAAGCAGACAGACCTTATTACATGAGATGATATTTTCAACCAAAATATGATTTCAACCAAAAAATAGACTTAGTGAGACTTATCTCACCATCTAAAACATTTCTTTTGATGAAAAGCATTCTTAATTTCATCCTATTACTCCCAGATTGACTCATATACCATTCTAAATAATTTCTCCCCTAGCTGTAAAATTAGCATGTCCCCACCACTTCCAGCTCACTTAGCCATGAGTCAATCCCTCCTGCTCTGATCTGCCTTCAGCTTGTCTCCATCTTCCTGGTAAGGAGGGACTCAGATAATATTTTCACTCTCTAGGATTATCTGCCAGAGTTGAGTAGATATACTGCCTCTTCTATCCCATTGCCTACATTCTATGACCTCTTTTATTGCCACCTCCATGTTAAAGGACATCACCATGCAGCCACACAATCAGAAAGCCCAGAATTGACTCATGAGAGAGACTAACTCCCCTTTCCCACTTCATTTGTATGCCTCAGTTTCATCAAGATAATACCTCTTTCCAGCCTTTTTAACTCACCTTACCTCCTCATCTCCCTTCACAATCATATGCTAAAAACCAGGCAGAGAATGGTCACAACCCAGTTGCCAGCTGAAATTTCAGAGTACAAAATCAAGGAGCCTCTTAGCTCCCTGAAATGCCCTTTGCCCCAGACACTTTGCCTCTATATCATTAAACGCATGATAATGTCTCCAGCCTGCAGGCTGGCCACATCCCCCATTGACACTGCTAGGGCCACTCCAGACAAAAGAGGGCAGTGCTGAATTCAATAATACACATCCAAAGCGCTTTGAAATCCCCAAAGACAGATGCTTTATGAATACCAGACACTATTATTATCTACTCTACTGCTCCCTGTCATGACAAAGTATGCCCAAAGTCTGTACCCTCACAAATGTATTTTTACTTTTTCAAGCTGTTACCCATTAACTTCTTGCTAATATTTCTGGTTATTCTGGGCCTCTTTATTTAAACCCTTGGTTAATGTTGGCACTTGTCACCCTTCTGTCTTTGCAGATGTCACTTAGCATTCTTTACAAATTAGCAACACAATTAAGCAACACTGAATACCCATTTTGACCTTCTGTGTACTATCTCAATTTTGGATATGTTAGAATGCACCCCACCATTTAAATATCCACTTAATAAAGCATTATGTTACTCTTAAGCCTGCCCAAATCAATTTGGGTTAGATTGAAGGATAAATTATAAGAGTTTACAGAGTGTTTTGCTAAAATCTAGCTGTAGTATATCCACTCGGCTTGTCATTCTTTATCGTTCCATTCTCTTCAACTACAAACTTTATACAATGCTTCATGCTTAGATTGGAAATTAGCAATCTATGCCATGTTTCTCTCAGACTACTGTTATAATGGAATTTTGCATTAATTTGGCCCCATTCTTTTACTAAGGCTTAAAGAACATGACCTCAAAAGCAACAAGAAAAATAGCTTTTTAAAATATAATCCTTGATTGATCATCAAATGATTTGATACATTTTTTAAACTAATTGCTTACATACCAGCAGACCTTTCTAGGGCCCTTACTTGGGGGCAATTACAAACAGGGTCTGGTTCTTGTGTTTAATCTTTGTTTCACTGTGAATCAAAGACATTATAACATAGGAACAGGATGCAGTCCTGCTGTTTTTTCTGACCCATTCTGCTCAGGAATAGCAGTCTCCTAACTATTCAGCTAACTTACGTTTCTTCTCCCCTCCATTGGAGCAATGCTCCCTCATACCCAGCAACACCCAAAGCACTTTGATTCAGTGAGTTAATATTTGACTCACTGAATATTTATAATATTTTTAAGAATTAATGAGTTAATATTTCTAAACAACTGAGAGGCCTGCAATGAGATGCATTGTGCCAAAATCCGCAATCATTCCACAATATCTAAACCTTTTCTTCTATCTGGTCCCTCATAAGGATCACCATTCTAAGAGCTATTTGTCCCATTATTCAAATTCTTCCTGATAGTCAAATGCCTTAAGATTCAATAGACTAATATTTTGGTCATCTACAATAGAAATCTGTGTTTCCCATATGTTACAGAACCAGATGGTTCAGGTTGGTCTTTTATTTGTCAGGCTCAATATAAAACACTGCTCTCTCTCTCACTCTCTTTCTCTCAGGGTTTTAACAGGCCATCCAGTTTACTACCCCACAACCCCCTACTCCATGGTTTAACAACAGGCTGAACCAAGAGATGAGCAACTTCTCAGCTGCTGGCCTCCTCCCAAGGCACTCTCAGCATGGCCAGCCCCCACTTCTGTTCCTGCTGGCTTTTTATGCAGGCCCTTGATTGAGAACCAGTCCAGCTGGGCAGCCTCTTAACTCCTTTAACCCATTCATATCCAGCCCACCTCTATCAGGCCTGGCCCGCTTTCTGATCAAAGCTACTTAGTGAGGCTGTATTGAGCTCCTATGCTTACCCCCTCTTTTTTCATCAATCTGACAAAACAAAAGTGAAAAGAGCTAACAATTGTTGTGCACCTACTATGGCAAATGCTGAGTTAGAACATTTTAATAGTCATCATATCATTTAAGACACAGAACAACCCAAGAAAAGGCATGATTATTACCATTACATAGAAAAATAAACTGAGGCTCAGAGATATTGAATAGCTAGTCACACATCTAGAAAGTGGTAAAGCAGGATTGCCACTCATATATATCTTGATCATAGGGATCAACTAAAAGAGACTGCAACTTAAAGGCTAAAGAAGACACTGGAGAATATCTTGTCCAACAGCACATTGTATATATATATATATATAGCATCTATGAAACAGAAAAGTTAAGTGACTTCCTCAGGGACCCACAGCTGAATGAATATGGCCTTGGAGTTAGAAGCCATATTTCAGGATCCTAGCCTAGAACTCTTACATTGCCTCATAAGTCAAGTACATTTCATTTTTCGTTATTATCTACTTCCTTTGAATTTATTTATTTTTTGTGATAAAAACACTTAACCTGAACTCTACCCTTCTAACAATTTTTTAAGTATGCAGTACATTATCACTGACATTGCTGTACAATGTCATAAAGCAGATCTCTAGAGCTTAACTTAAACTTTATGTCAATTGATTAGTTACTGCCCATTTCTGCCTTATTCCTGCCTCTGGCAACCACTATTCTACACTTTGATTCTATGAATTTGACTATTACAGACATCTCATATAGGCAAAATCATGTACAGCATTTGTTCTTCTCTGGCTGGCTTATTTCACTTAGCATAATATCCTCAAGGTTTATCCATGTTGTCACATATTGCAGAATTTCCTTCTTTTTTTAAGGCTGAATAATATTCTATTATACACAAATACCACATTTTCTTTATCCATTCATCTGTCAATGAACATTTTGGTTATTTATGTATTTTGACTGTTATGAATAGTAGTTTGATGAACATAGGAGTGCTAATATATCTTCAAGATCCTGGTTTCAGTTGTTTTGAATAAATACCCAGAAGTAGATTCTTCAATTATGTGGTAGTTTTATTTATTTATTTATTTATTTTGAGGAACCTCTATACTGTTTTCCTTAGTGGCTGCATCGTTTTGCATTTCAACCAAGAGTGTGCAAAGGTTTAAATTTCTCCACATCCTCACCAACACTTATTGTCTTTTTTTTTTTATAAAAGCCATTCTGACAGGTGTGAAGTGATATCTCATTGTGGTTTAGTTTGCATATCCCTAATAAGTGACATGGAACATTTTTTCATATATTTGTTGGTCATTTGTATGTCTTCTTTGGAGAAAGTCCTTAGCCCATTTTTCAACTGGGCTATTAGTTTCTTTGTTAGTTTGTTTGTTTTCTACTGAGTTGTATAAATTCCCTGTGTATTTTATGGATTAATCCTTATCAGGTATATGGCTTGCAAATATTTTCTTCCGTTCTATAGGTTGTCTTTTCATTCTGTCAGTTGTTTCCTTCCTGTGCAGAAGCTTTTTAGTTTGATGTAGTCCCACTTATTTTTGTTTTAATTTGGCTTATCTGACTCATTCATTTACTCTACAAATACGTATTTTATAACTCTTATGTATTAAGAGTTATAAAATACACTTATCTAGGTGTCTTTATCTAGGAGTTATAAAATACTAGTATACATACACTTATCTAGGAGTATAAAATACACTTATCTAGGAGTTATAAAATACACTTATCTAGGTGTATCTAGGCATTTATCTGGGTGTGCTACTTATTAACCTATTAACTCCCAGCTCCAGATTGACCCTTCCGCACTCTGTTGTATGCCACAATATCTTTTCATGTTAAATTATATATGTTATAAAATGGAAAGTGACATGGTTTCTATTTTCTTCACTGTCAGACCCCAGAATTTCTGCTCTGTGTCCAGCACCTCCCTGGGAACTAAAGATACAGAAGTAAGCAAGAGCAGATGCAGTTCCTACCATCACAGAACTCATAGTCTAGTCCAGGAGATAGACACTAATCAGTTAATTATAAAATGGCACTGAAATTTCAGATGGTGATAGTAATACTGAGGAAAGAGGCATCTGGTAGTGAATGCTAGGAGCATGGGCTGTGTGGTCAAGGAGGGCTTTTAAGAAGACGTGGCACCTCAGAAGAGACCTCCCACAGGAACCCCCTATGTCAACACTGTGGAGGAAAGAGGGGAAGAACCAATGCACACTGAAGGAGCTTTGTAATAATCAGTAGGGCCATAGTCAGAAAATAGTTTGATTTCCTTTCATCTATTTTATTACAAAGGAATATTGACTTGGGCTTCACAAGTCCAAGCTATAGGAAACTTTTCAATTTAGTAAGATCATCTTTTTTCTCTGGGCTGTCTGAGCCTGATGTAGACAAGCCACGTATCAGAAATGCTTGTTTCCACTTACTTCTTGTTCCAGGATCTTATCCTTGATATGAAGTCCCTTCAGGAATCTTTAATTGTGCACTATAGGTTCTGCATTCTATTCCAGAAAGAGTTTTGATATGTGATTACATGTAATTACATGTGTTGGTTTCACTTAGATTTGTGTAAGTTAATATATTTTTTAAATTTTTTAATTATTTATTAGAACATGTACAAAATTTATTCCCTCAGATTATTTTAGGTGGAAGAAATGGTCACTTTACATGAGCAATTAAAGTGTCCTTTTTGCATTTATATATATATATATTTTGCATTTATATATATATCAGTATATACATATCAGTGTACATATATGTGTGTGTGTGTGTATATATATATATATATACACTAAGCAATTTGAAAGGCAATATGTAATTGAGTTTAGAATGCGACTGATAGTTTGGAGGAGGTAGAAGGAGCATACTCCTTTCTGTTTGCTTCTTTTTCGTATCTGGAAGGAAATGTTTTCTTTCTTTATTTTTTCCCCCATTTTAACCCGGTTTTACACCTTTACCACCTCCCAACTGCTCTATTGTAACAATCTTGTAACTGGCTTTCTGCCTTTAGTGTAAACCTGCACACATACACACACCTTCCATTCTGCACCAATAGTCATAGGCTTAATCTTAATTAAACTCTAGCTTTATATTGTATTCCCCTTTGACTACAAAGTCAAGTCTTTCTACCATGGCAAAAAAAGACATGATTTTTCCTTTTTCTTTCTAAACTCGATTCTGATGGTGTTTTTAATTAGTGCTTCCTAATTTGGCTGCATATTAGACTTACCTGGGAGAGGGGCACATAAAAAAATGTGTGATCTCCAGACCTCACTCTAAACCAATTAAATCCAAAAATGAAGCTTCCACATGGTTCTAACATGCAACCAGTGTTGAGAATTACCAAATGTGAGTCTGATGTGAGATTTAAACTGGACGACTCACCGTTGTCCTTTTCCATACCCCATATGCACCTTTCTTATTTTAATATTCTAACTCACTCCTCTTGGCATGAGATTGGATGGAGGCCAGTTGTACTTAAAAGAAATCTCCTCTCTAAATATTACTTTGATTCTACTAAATTTTGTTATTAATTTTAAAAGCTAAGAACATTAAAGAGTAGTTTTCTCCTCACTAGAAAGCATAGGTACTTCTAAATATTTTCAATACGTCTTTCCACCTTGGATATTATTCACAGTTGGGCTTGCATCCAGAGCACCATTAGACACCCATGTTGTACTCACTGTGATAACATACCTGCTGGATGGTCCCACGACACAGGAACAGAAGTGATGTGAGCCCCTGAAAATTAGGCTTCGAAGTCTGGCTTTTCTCATTTCTGTCCCTGGAGCAGCAATAGGGCAAGTGGATACTAATGAGGATGCAAGAATGCACTCAGTCTCAGAAATGTTACAGAACACAATACAGCACTGAGCATAATGTCTAGCATGAAATTGGTAATCAATTCATATTTGCTAGAAGTATGTATAAACGGACAGAGAACCCACATTGCCTTTTTGTGTGTTATATACTATATAGACTCTTAATCTTTATAAAATAAATCGCTGAATGATGTTGAGGAAGGCCTTTAAGCTTCCGGATTTTAGTTTGCTCATCCATAAAATTAGTGGTAGTGTAAGGAGGAAAGATGAGTTCAAAAATTTCCTTCAAGCTCTAATGGTTTTTCGGCTTAGAAAGATTTTTGCTTAAGTTTTTTTGTATACGTCAGTGACTATTTCACGCAAATGAAACATGCATACATTGCTTAACAAATTTGAGAATAACCTGTGACCTCTAAATTTAGTTAGCAGATTTATTACTGTTTACATAAAAAATCTCAATGAATCTACAAAGAAGCTACTAAAGTTAATAAGCAATTTTAGTAAGGCCACAAGATTCAAAGTTAATATTAAAAAATCAATTGTAATTCCATACATTAACAAAAAACAACTAGAAATTAAAATTAAATATACAATTAAAATAGCATAGCATAAGACATAAAATACATGGGCAAAAGTTTAACAAAATATTTTAAAAACCTGTTCACTGAAAATTACAAAACTTTGCCAGAAGACATTTTAAAAGACCTAAATAAGAAGAGGGATAGACTGTACTCATGGATAGGAAGATTCAATATTGCTAAGACAGCATTTATTCTCAAATTTATTTACAAATTAAATGCAATCCAAATCAAAATCCCAGCATTTTTTGGTAGAAATTATCAAATGAGTTCCAAATATGTATGAAAATGCAAGGCCTTGGAATAGCTAAAAGAATTTTGAAAAAGAAGAACAAAGTTATTCTTATACAACCTGATTTCAAAATCTACTTGTGATGGTTTAAAAATATGCCTGCAAATTATTTGACACTTCTCCCTTCAAAAGGTAAAGGCTAATTCCTCTCCAATTGGTTGTAGGTAATATGAAGTTGCTAACTTCTATAATTAGAATCTGTTGGAAGTAGTGGAGTGACTTCTGAGGCCAAATTATAAAAGGCATTGATGCTTCTTCCTTGCCCTTTCTTTGATCACTCACTGTTGGGGAACAGAGTCTGGGGAAAGAGAGCCAGCATACATGTCATGACAAAACTCCAGGAGCCCTGTGGAGAGTCCCATGCAGCAAAAGAAACAATCTTTCCAGGACTGACTAGCCAGCAAAGTGAGTGAGCAACCTTGGAAGTGAACCCTGAAACCTCAGTTAAGTCTTCAGATGATTCTAGGCTCCCACCCTTTGAGTCTTTCAACTGAGACACCAGATATTGCAAAATAGAGGTAAAGCACCCCTGTATGTTCTGTCACAATTTCTGATCCACAGAAACTCTGAGCTAATACATGGTTATTATTGTTTTAAGTCGCTAAATTTTGGAATAATTAGTTACGCAGCAACAGGAAAATAGTATGGACTTTATTGGATTATAGTAATCAGAATGGTGTTAAGTTGGTATGAGGATGGACATACAGGTCAATACAGTATAGAAACAGTCAGATGTTGGTCATTTCCTTCACAACAAATGTAAGTGGGACAAAGACATTTTTTCAGTAAATGGTGCTGCAATGTTAGGTATCCATTTGCAAAAAACAAACAAACAAACAAACAAACAAAACCCCAAAAACTGGAAAAAAAAGAGACAAAAAATAAACTTTGGTATTTACTTAATATCATATACAAAAATGAACTTGAAATGATCATAGACATTAACATAAAAACTAGAGCTGTAAAACTCTAGGGCTAGAAACTTTATAGGAGAAAATATTTATGACTTCCATTTAATCAGATATTTTTTCAAAAAGTACACAAAGATCAGAAATATTAACAGAAAAAAATTGATAATTACAATTTTTCAAAATTTAATACTCTTATATTTGAAAGAATACTGTTATGAAAATGAAAAGATGTGCTACAAACTGGGAGATACCTTTTGCAAAACATATATCTGTTAAAAGACTTGCATCCAGAATATACAAAGAGCTCTTCCACTCAATAACTGACCTAATAAGAATATAGTCAAAAGATTTGAATAGACATTTCACTAAGAAAGATATGTGCCTGGTAAATAAGCACAAGAAAATAAGCTCAATATTATCAGTCATCAGAGAAATAAGTTAAAACCACAATGTGCTAATATTTTGCTTTCACTAGAGTGGGTAAAATTAAAAATATTTAAAATGCTAAATATAGGCAAATATTTGGAGCAACCAGAACTTTCATACCTAGCTGATAGGAACTGAAATCAAAATGGCACATCCTCTTTGGAAAAACCTTTGGCAGGTTTTTACTTGTTGTTAAAGAAGTTCAAAATAGGCAGCAAATGAAATACCTTATTTTATCCATTAATCTGGTAAAAGTTTAAAATGTCAATATACACTACAGTTGGCCAGTGTCTGGGTTAAAACATCTTCTTGTGAACTGTTGGAAGATGTCTATTGGTAAAACATTATATGGAGTATAATTAAGGTCGTATCTACTAAAATCAAAAGGTACCAACAGTAAATCCAGCTATCTGTTGGAATTTGGTCTGTGCATGTAATGTCAAATGTGTGCTGAGTACAGCAATGCTTGCTATAAGACAAACAGTCAATCAAACCGTCATATTAAAACAGCTTGTATATAAGTCAGTAGGTGGAATGTTCTGTCAATTACAGTTACATAGTTTTCAAAAGAAAGATGTTGACGTGTACAAAGTGAAACTTCAATATTTGCAGATTCCACAACACATCTGCAGGTTCAACCAAATACAGGTTGAAAATATTCAGAAAAAACTCAGTACAATAATACAAATAAATAAAAACAATATAGTATAACAACTATTAACATAGCATTTACATTTTATTAGGTATTATAAATAATTGAGAAATGATTTAAACTATATGGGTGGATGTGGGTAGATTATAAGCCCTGTACCCTACAGGCCATGAGATCTTGGGCAAATTATTGCCTCTCAAGCCACAGTTGCCTCATTGGAAAATAGGAAAAAAATGTGACAGAAGGGCATTAATTATGCATTGTATGTCTGTATCAAAATATCTCATGTACCCAATAAATATATCTACCTACCATCTACCCATAAAAATTAAAAATTTAAAAATTTAAAAAGAAAAAAAATCTGAAAATATTAAATGGAAAATGCTAGAAATAAATGATTCATAAGATTTAAATTGCATACCAATCTGAGTAGCATTATGAAATCTCATGCTGTCCAGCTCTGTGCTGCCTGGAATGTGAATCGTCCCTTTATCCAGTATATCCACATATAGACCCTACCCATCAGTTAGTCACATAGCAACCATCTTCGTTATCAGATTGAAAAAACGTAGTGTATTGGGTTCTGTACTATCTGAGGTTTCAAGCATCCACTGAGGGTCTTGGAACATATCCCCCACGGATAAGGAGAGGCTACCATATTAAAAAAGAAGAAAAGTACAAAATCTGTTATCTAAGCTTCCCTTTTAAGATGCCAGGAAAAGAAGAACAAATTAAGTTGTTAACTTATTACAAAGTAAATTACGCAATATAAGTAATAAAATAAAAGATGAAATTAAAATTAAAAATGGACAAATAATAGATAAAATCAATAAAGTCAAAAGTTGACTTTTTTCAGATGATTGGTAAAATTTATGAACCCCTAGCCAGACTCATTAAGAAAAAAAACTATGAGAAATGAAAGAGTCTTAACAAGTCCTACAAACATGACAATGATAACAAGGAAATACTATATACAACTTTATTCAATAAATTCCACAACTTAGGTGAAATGGACACACTCCTAAGAAACATAACTTACTAAAGCTAGTACAAGAAATAAAAAGTCTGTATGGTTCTGTATCAATTAAAGAAATTGAATTTATAATCAAAAGCTTTCCACTGAGAAAAATACTAGCCCAAATGGTTTCAATGGTAATTTTTATAATACATTTATGTAAAAAAAATATATATATCATTCTTAGAAAATACAGGAGAAAACACTTTTGCACTCAATTTATGTGGCCAGCAAAACTCTGATTCCAAAATCTGACAAAGACATTACAAAAAAATTAAATTACAGATGAGTATTTATAACGAATGAAGAAACAAAAACCGGTAACAAAATAATAATAAATAACATTCAGCAATTAATGTAAAGGATAGTACCTCATGACAAAGTTCAGTTTATCTCGGGAATTCAAGGTTGGTTAAACATTAGGAAATCAAAGTAATTAACAATATTCACAGAGCAAAAGAAAAAAAGGTAGTGTATGCTGTTACTTAAAAATATTGTATAAATAGAAGAAAACATTAGAAGCACTTACATTAAAATGTTATAAGTAATAATCATTGGATGGTGTGATTGTCAGAAATGTATTTTGTCTGTGTTTTCCTGTATTTTCCAAGCTTACTGCAAGGAGTATTATGATATTTTATAATTATATAGGGCTGTGTGTCAGGGGGTAGGTATAATGATAAAGCATTTGAATATGCCTTCAAAGAGGCTAAAGCTAAGAAGAACAGGCACAGAGACTGATGGTTTAGAATAATAAATTAAGGATGTTGGAGATGACTGTATATCCATATCAGCTCAGAGGAGGGGCACAAACTTGGGATGGAGTCAGGGAAGTAGCTTAAGAGTGGGCTGGGTTGGTAGAGAGAAAGTAAGTCTGTTGTCAATGGTGAAACTGTATAATCTCTGTAGTTTGATATGCATGGGAAACAGATTTTTTTTCCTTTTGCGTTGTTTAGGTTCAGGTTTATTAAACTAACAGAAGATACAGATTTTAGGTCTACTTAATATAAATCAGTCTCCTATTTGTCTGTCCTCAAAGGCTTTCTGTATCCCATGGGATGTGTAGCAGAGTGCACAAATCAGATCCTTCCACTGACAATCACTCTTGAAGAGAAAATCTTCCAAATAACAGAATTCTGATTTTTTAAATTTTCTTTCATTCCTTTCTTTTTTTCTCCCTATCTTTTATTCCTTTAACATTACACTTTATTCTAGAAGCTCATAACAATTTTGGCAAAAACAAAAATAAATAAACACAATAGCTTCCACAGTCACTAACAACTTAAATTGTGAATAATTAGGCTAATTTAGTTTTAAGTGACATTTTAATGATAATTTAGTTAGTTAAATTTAAAAGAAAAAGTGATATTGTTTTAAACACTCAGTTTATTTCAGAATGTCACTGGGGGAAAAACCCTGAGTATGAGAGAAAGGTTGTGTTAATCTGAGTTGACTATTGGTTGCTTTTATTTATTTTTATTTTTATTTTTTGTTTTTTGACAGGGAGTCTTGCTCTGTCACACAGATTGGACTGCAGTGGCGTGATCTCAGCTCGCTGCAATCTCTGCCTCCCAGGTTCAAGCAATTCTCCTGCCTCAGCCTCTCAGGTATCTGGGATTACAGGCGCTGCCCACCATGCCTGGCCAATTTTTGTATTTTCAGTAGAGATGGGGTTTCACCATGTTGGCCAGGCTGGTCTTGAACTCCTGACCCCAGATGATCTGCCCACCTCGGCCTTCCCAAGTGCTGAGATTACAGGCATGAGCCATCAAGCCTGCCTATTGGTAGCTTTTAATCTTTATCTTCTAGCAAAGTGATACTGTTTAGGTGCAAATTGAATTCTTTTTTAAAATGTACTTTGCTTTCTGATAGAAAATTACTGAAGAAAGTAAAAGACTCTCAATTTGTGATAGTGAATTCTCTATTCCTATCATCTGAAAATTTTACAAGTGAACTTGCCACCCCCTTGGCAGCATCTAATCCTAACAATCATTACCATTTAGTTCTTGTTTATTCTGACATGGCAGTACTTTGGTTAAGTGAGCAAACCTACATGCAGAATAAAAACCGATGATTTGCTTGCTATAGATCTTTTTCTTTCTGACAACTGGATACATTATAAAACAACAGCAAGGTCAATTAATAGCATAATCTAACAGTCAATTCACTAATATTTTTACCTGTGCCAGGCCAAGACCTCAAATCAGAATATCAGTGTCATATTTGAATACTGTAGTGTTTCAGGAAAGAAAAAATATTCTAAAAACCAACAGCATTCCATTGAAAGGCATTTTCTGCAGTGCTTTGATACGTAACTGACTGAAGCTCAGCATGCAAGACATTAATCTCAACCTTCATGTAATATACCATTGAAGCTCCAGGAAAATAAGATTATAAGACTTTCATGTTATTCCAAACAGATTGAGAAATGTGCCAAGAGGAATTACACCTTAAAATCTTCTATTTTGTTTTCCATAATAGGGGCAAGAGGAGAGAAATATTGTATATTTGGCTATAAAATCATAATGAATATTTATTCAGCACAGTTTTCTTTTAGAAAGTGTATGTGAATTAAACTAGAAAAATGTTTCATTTTCCCACATCATATTGCATGGTACTCGGGTTGCGTGCGTGTGCGTTTGTGTGTGTGTCTTTGCATGCACTGTCATAACCTATCTGGCCAAGCGTGAACTGTCTCCAAAGATTAAGTGCACCTATTTTGAACTGGAGGCTGCATGCCATAATTTTTAGCTAACCCGTTTCCTTCTTAGTGAAAACAGAAATAAAAATATATTGTGCACACTTCATGGCTAGAGCCTTTGACCTCAGCTGCCTGTCTAGCTGAGACTGTGATGAATGTTTTGTGTCCCTTCATTTTTAATTGCTCATAAATTGTTATCCCACGAAACACAAAACTAGCCTTGTCCTCATTTTAGTTGAGGTTGGAGGTCAGCCTAACAGTAATACAATTAAGGAGTGTCTTTGTGTGGGGGTGTGGGAGTGAGGAGGGCAGTAGGGTTGCAGAAGAGGGTTAAAGAAATGTAGTAGTCCTTTCTAAGGAAAACACAAAGAAACTTCCTACTTTTGAGCAAAAACATCACACATAAAGTAAATCATGCTTGTTTGACAATTGTGTCCAAAGTGCTTTGAAGGGAATTTCTGGACAGCAACAAAGGAAGTGAGTTATATTTTATGTCTGTGCTCAAGCAAAAATGTGTTTTTGTGATTCGTGATGTAGAGGATAAATTAATTCAGTGAAAAAAAAAAAGTCTGGTTTCAGAAGTAGAGCATCTCAGCCCAGGTTGTTTTCAAAAGAGACAGTGAATGTGAATCTAACAGCAGAAGTTAGCCTTCAGCTTTGTGCCACTCTGTCATCACTCAGACAGCAGCTCATGGCGACTTCTCCAGCACACATCTGATTGCAACGCACTGTGGATCTCTTCTGTGGGTTTTGCAGAGTCAGTCATTGTTTTCAATTATACTTCCTCTATTGCTCAGCAACTAAGGTATGACCTTAAACAGTCATGTTTCAAATATCAATGGAGCTAAAGCTTTGAATTTCTTTTCTCATTTGTGAAGACTGTCAAGAACAGAGATGATTATGCACTTTCTTTATTCTGCCTAAAATAGTGTTTAAAGCTCAGCCAGTGGCCTATTGACTGATTTTATTGTTTTGATTAAACCAAACCAGAAGCAGCATGGTCTAAATGGAAGCAGAATTGAACTTATAGTGAGACCACGCCTTTCCTTTTTTCCAGTCATTCTTCTGATTTTCTTTAATTTCAGACAAATGGTTTGACTTCTACGGATTACAGACTTCTGTTTTCAAAATGAAAACATACCTTCAGTATTTACCTTGCAAAAATATAGGCAAGGGAAATTATATATGTGTTCCAACTTTCTTCATCAAAATAAACGTAAAATACATTTTCGCCATTGCAATGTTTCTCATTCTTGTCTTAATCACTGTTCGTTTGCTTTATCATGTTTCACACTACCTTTTGAGCATTTTGTCAAGCTTGGTCAAATTCTGAGTAACTAAATGGTATTCCCAGCATTAACTTCCCCATTCATTACTAACTGAGTCTTTTCAGTTAATTTACTATTTTCCCAGTAGAATTTATAATTCTCTCTGGGGTAGATTTGGCAAAATAGAAAATAAGTTAACTGTAGACCAATCACTAATGCACCAATTTGATCACCATTAATCTCCTCCTACATATATTTCTGGGGCACTTCTTATGTCTCAAGCACTGTTTAGGTACTGAGAATAGAATCATGAACAAAAAAGAAAAAAAAATCTGTCCTTAAGAGAGATGATATTCTATTAATTTGACATGTTCAGTTAACTCATGATGTCTAAACATATAAGCAAAAGTATAATATAATGCAAGCAGGGACAACAGGAATGGGATAATAAAATAACTAGATTACAAATCAGGAACTTAGAACTAGAGACCAGTTCTGCTATTCCCTAGCTTTGGGATGTTAACCGAACTTTTGGACCCCATATTCCTTATTTGTAAAATGAAGGAGTTGGGGCCTATTCCAATTCTAAAATTATGGAAAATTGTGGGGTTGTCTATATAAGGGAGAAATCATCCCTCACCCCTCAATGCGAAAGAGAGAGAGAGAGACATACAATTATCTCATATTTTCAGATTAAGTATATTCCTAGCTTTTGGCTGGAAATTTTTGCCAGAAAATTTCAGAGCTTTTAAAGCCTAGAGACTGAAAAAAAATTATTACTTTTCTTTGTTTTATACTCTGAAAGTAAGCTAATTGCAATAGCAAATGATTCTGGTACTTGGTTTCCTGGATGTTGACAATGTTGGCACTTTGTCACAAGAAGGAGGGCAGAGCTAACTGGTTCATAAGGTTCCCAGTGGTCCGAATAGCAGAAAAATCTGTTAGACTCATGATGAGTGCGTTGTTGGCTGCATTCAGCAGCACACAAGTCTAAAACTGATCATCTGTGCCCTCACCAGTAACTGCTACTTGACTGTAATAAGAACCACTACAGATTTACATGCTACCAAAAATGATAATAATGATGATTCCTAGCCATAATGGAGAAGAAAGTTTTATTTTTATCTTTAAAGCATTTCATAAAATCCTCCAATCTGAAAAAAAAACAAATCGAAGTGTTAAATATTAGATATAAAAATTAAAGGTGTATCATCAAAGTTTGCCTAATACATCATGCATTTAATGGAAATTATAATTTGTATGTAAACATTTCAAATGTATTAGACATTAATTAAAGAGCATATTTTGTATGGCATTTCAGTCTCAAAAATGGCTCAAGATAGTATTTAAAATAAGATTAAAATATCTTTCTAGTTTTTACTGGAATATATAACCTTTTCTCTCATCTGAACAGAACAATTCCTAGTTAAGAAGTTTCTAATAGCTATAATAGGGCTTTTCTAGTTTGTAACTTTTCTGAAAGCCATAAGAATTAGAATCACACAGCAACATACCTACATTTTCAAATGAGTGATGTAATCAAGATAGAATGAGCACACATCACCATCTTATAAATGAGTGTTTTTCTTTTTAAAAAAATCATTATTGACCCTCTCCTCACTATAATGCATGCTCCATGAGAGCAAGGGATTTTGTCCGCTTTTTCATTCCCACTGCTGTATCCCCAGGGCCTGAAGCAGTGACTAGTGCATAGTAGGTGTTCAATAAACATTTATTAGATGGATTAATACTGTTATTACTTCCTGAGGCATAAACAAGAAGACTAAGCTTCTGTAAACTAGCGCCCAGATCCAATGCGTTCTAATCCTAACTTTCTTAAGATGTCACTTGCTAGTTCCTTCTTTGTCATATCCCTACAAAGACAGAAAAAAACAAAATTAGCTTTGTTGATTTCTGTCTCAGAGTATTTTTTTAGTATCTTGTTTGGCATGGCAACAAATGTAGTTCAAGTTTGATTTTTTAATTCCTAGTACCGTCAATACCTTTGCTTCAGCCCAGTGGCTATTTTTCACTCATTCTATCAAGGAACGTGCGGGATCCAAAATTATAAATTCCTCATTAAACTGAATAAACATATTCCCTTTGAGGGTGGACTTTATAATATTGGCTCTATATGGTATTTGTAAAATGTGTATGACTTTGTCATTTCCCAGAATTTATTTATATTACTATTTAAACCTTGAAAATAGTTTCAAAAACCACTTGGCTTACAGATTTTGTTGTATTGTTCTGGGACGTTTACATTTGAGCAAAACAGTATACCACTGGAAGAGTCCATATTTATATCACTATTCAGAGCAGAAAGTTTAGGTTCATGCATTACAATTGGGTACTCAGACAAGGCAAACTAATAAAAGCTGCATGAAAACATGTGAACATGGCATTTTTGAAGACATAAGTCAAGCAATTTTTTTCTAATTGATTATGGTAATTCAAATATGAGTGCCTAATATCTAATACTAAACAAACTACAAAGTGCAATTGAAAATTAGGGCATATTTCATTTGTCACTTTGGAGTACTTACCTCACACTGGTAATTTCATCAAAAAGCATTGGTAGCTTATGACATCTGTATGGTTAGAACACTGTGGTAATTCAATATTCACTTTTATTTGTCTTGGGTTGGCTAACAAGAAAAATAGTATGATGCTATACGTCAAACAAATGTTTCACATATATTGATAATAGTATCACCATATCATTAGTTTCTTACCCAAATAAGAATAATTATATTAATTTAGGTCCTATAAGAACACTGTGAAAATGCTGTTTTGTGTGACTTGGTGCTTTGAACAACTTTTTACTAAAAATAGTTCTTATCCTAAATATACTAAAAATTGTGTGTCTTACTCATACCTACCTGGAGCTCTATGCTTGCTATACTGCTTTTGGCCAACAAGCTGGCTCAGAGTGACCTCTTTTGTCTTCCATGTTTATTTACTTAAAACTTTCTGACTTATGGAAGATTCCCAGTGTGTATCCCAATGCCCCTTATAGTTACCAAGGGCTAAAGGTGTGCATAAAACAATAATGTGGATTTTGTTAAGGGAATATTTAAACAATTGGCTAAATTGCACAGTGCAGCAATTTTTATTCAATGACTTCTAACTAATAACTGCAGCCTTAAAATTCAGTGACAATCAAAATTTCCACAAAACTTTCCTAGTGAATGAGGAAATGAAATGTGTATTCTTGGGAACTGTGGAACAGTTGAAGCAACACACACAAGCAAAACAATTCTTTGACATGCCTCAATTTATCTGAAACATAGATGTGAATGTTTGCATTCTACTCCTATAACATATGCCTTTACTTAAATATTAAATACTTTTCCCCAAAACTCCAAATAAAATTCATACTCCTGGGAGAAGGTCCATTTTCTTCTGTTAGCTTTTCTTATTTCCAACACCCTATCCACTAAATGGCATAGACATAATCCAGTTTTAGTTGAATATTTACAGGTCAACATAATGATAAATAACAACTAAAGTTTATTGGTTTTGCTGAGGGTCATTCAGAACCCAACTGGCATTTCACTCCCCTGTCAGCTTAGAAACACATAAAAGATTAGTCATATTCTACTATCAGATTTCTTTGGGAGCTAGCCAAAGCTCAACTCATCTGAATGATTAGATGTCTCCTTCCTTCCTTCCCTCTTCTCCTCCTTCCTTCCTTGCCTTTCTTCTTTTCCCTTCCTCCCTTCTTCCTTCCTTTCTTCCTCCCTCCCTTCTTCTTTCTTTCTTTCTCTCTGAGAAAAAACATAGCTAAAAAGTAACCAAGAAGTCATCAAAGGGAAATCTAAGTCCACCCAGGAAAACTCAGAGGTGAGCAAAATTAGAAGGTGTTTTTGTGTGACCATCAATCCTCTCCAATCTCTTTCCCATGGAAAGGATTAATTCAGATGACCTCTTTGGAATAACACTATTTTCTCTCTATCTAGTTTGTACCTATTCTCAATCACTTTACATGCACAAAGCTACAAAATGTCTACAAAAAAACCAGCGCCCTGGGGTTGTTCATCCTATGTTACAGAAATGCAGAGCTTCAGTTTTTTGATACTCTTCATTTCTCAGCCCCTATACAATGGATGTCACTAATGTCACCTTTCAGTAAGATAGCCATGGCCAGCAGAAGGCTTGAAAATGCCAATTGTAATTAACTTTCTTTTCAAATATGTTTGACAGTTTCATGCTGAGAAGTGCTTCTTACCTTTTGAACTTTCAGATTGCTTGGCTGAGCAAAATGCGTACCATTTTCTTTTAAAATTACCTTACAAAGAGCTATGTACTATGATATTCTTGCACACGTCAGCCATTTATTAGAGATTTAGATTTTTAAGCAGATTATCCTTGTTCCAAATGAGAGACCTTGCTTTTGTCTGAAGCATAGGTTATGTTCAGGTGTATAGCAGAGCACCAGGACAAGGACACTCATATATTCATAAATGTCAAAGACAATGACCCTTCCTCATGGGCTGATCATCCCAGCTGCTCTACAAGGTAATACTCCCAAGACCTGTAGATGCCAGAACCATGCTCTTTGGCAGTAGCTAAAGATAGGAAAGAAATGCTCCTTGGGTCCAGTTTCCTACAATATGGTTATACATCATTTTTAAAATGACATCAAAAATCAATAAAAATGGAAGAGCTCTATAAATGCATCTTTTCTTAATTGAGAGGCTTAACCTGACTTTTGCAGTAAGAATAATATACCTTACTGTGACCTACTTAAAAAAATGTAAAAAGTCACTTTATGGCTGCTTTTTTCAGTCTTTCATTTGGCCTTCCTACTCTTTTTTTCATAGCAAGAGTACTCATGACAAAAAAAAAAAAAGGGTATAGATTCTCACCAGCATTTTGATCAACGAGAAAGCCTTCATACTTCAATAGTGCACGTAATGGAATTGGTCAGATTTGAAGCATGGGAGCACATTTTATCTTGGATCTTTAATTTTTTACAGTTCAGCTGACAGAAATTTAACTAAAATGTTGGTTATATGACCAGTTAGCGGACTCTCCGAAATAACATTTGCCTTAATTTTGCTGTAGATTGTCAGAAAATGGTGTGAAGTAAGCACATTTTACTAATCCTTTGGTTAATCAGAAATTATTTAAAGAAAGTCTGCAAGACTAATTTCCCTGGTAAAGATACAAATACATTAATTACTCATAATTTTAAATCATATTGAAAACTCAGAGAATTATTTGTTTTTAAAAAAACTCAAAGGATATATTTTTAAGTTACCTTTTCCAGCCATCAAGACAATTGAAGAGACAGGTCACTGAGGTTCACACTGCCCTAGAAGATGGCAACATAACCTTTCCTCCAACATTATTAAAATGGGAATAAAAGCCTCATTCTCTATCCTCTTCAGGTAGAAAAAGCTATAACTAGCCTATAGTATTATCAATTTCAATATGATTTTGGAATTATAAAAGTATTTTGGTCCAAATTCCAAATAAAAATACAATTCAGTTTCCTATAAATACAGTATTTGGTGTTCTGTTAAACTAATCTTAACAAGTCCTCTGAAGATCAGGAGTGAATGGTTTTCAGCCATATATTTTATTAAATTTGGAGGAACTTTAAAAACATTTGTTGCTTCAGTGTAAGAAATCAAACCAAGGTAGTCAGTTGAATTGAAGAATCTATGTAGATGTCTATTATCAGTTTAAGAAAATGAGTCTTGAGTGTTTGAGAGCTTCAACTGGAAGTCTCTTTCCATGGGGTAATGATACTTTGATCTTGTTAAGACTACATAGTTCCAATTATTAGGACTGACTGCCTGTTTCATAGAGTATGTCTCCGAGTCAACAGGTAAAAATCATTTCTTCATCAGCCCTGTCACTTTACTACACACTTTTGGATAGCCAATGGATAAAGGGTAGATAAAAGAACCTCTCCCTGATGTTTTAAGAGGGAAATTCACATGATTAAAGCATTGCTTAAGAAATTAAGTATGATATTGACCAAATTTTCTGAAATCCCCCTCCAAATTTATTTGGATTGTTAGCTTATGCCCCAGTTATTTTGCTCTAAGCATGCAGTTTCTAAGGCAAAAAAAATGAATTGTTCAAAAGCAGTTCCAGGATTGAATATGACTTAAAAGAGGCAAGTTAGAAAAGAGCAAAGTAGCCAGGAGACCTGAAGTGGCAAGCAAATGTTTTGGCAGCTATGATAAATGTGATTGTCGTTGCCCTAACCCTAAGTAATGAAAAGGACAACATTTTGACGATAAAATGTAAAATTGGTTTATAAATGCAGTTAAAATGTGGCTCATATTTAACTTCAGTTTTCAAGAGATTCTAATGGTGTGCTAAACAGCCTTGTTTTAGTAATAAACCTGTGGGCTACCCTAAAAAGCTCTAAAAAGTTTCTAATTAATTCTGATGCTTTAAGAATAGGCACATATGTCTCTACCACGTATCAAAAACCAAATTACCAAAAATGCTCGCCTACTTTGCAAAATCATCTCAGTGCAAAGAAGCTTATGTATATAATCTATGTCCATGTATTTCCTAGTTCACTTCCTTTTCCAATTTGCATTCCACTTTGTGAGCTCACCAAGCACCTTTTAACTTGGCACACAGAAACCCAGGTGTGATCGATCTTAGAAGACATTCGTGTGTCTATAAGAAAATGACTTTGGAAGTACATAGAGGGGGACTACTTGCAACTGTTACATCTAATTTTAGAGGCAAATGGGAGGAGAAAAACCATAAAACTCATAATGTCCAGGTTATGCCAAATCCTGAGAAACTGCTTGAATAAAATAAATTGTTCAAAAATATCATAGGATGAAAAACAAATATTCAAAGATTGTTTTACAGGTAAAATACGTGATCTAAATTACGAAGACATATACACACCCAAAATAACCATGATTATGTATTTCATATGTATATCTTTAATAATTTTGAAAATAAGATTTATAGAATTACCATATATATAGATAGGTTTTCTTGACTCTTAGTTGGATTTAAACCTACATAGGATTGAAGCAGTCCATTATATTTTTATTTTTAATAATGAAGTACTATTTTTCATATATTGATAAAACAGAAAATGCTTCAACTATTCCTTCCACATTTCTCTATTGAATTACTGTCACTGTTACATAATTGTTACATAGACTGTCACATGGAAATCAATAGAGTTTGGCATAAAAACAAGTAAAAATTTACTGCTTTTCAATATTTGTTAATGCAAGTCCATGATACTAAATGTTAAAGTTGGAAGAAGAAACTATCTGTATCTTGTTCCTGTCACTTTTTTTTTTTTAACTGACCAAATATATCAGCCAAGCTGGAAACGATCATTTATTTGAGTATGAGTCAACTATGTTTTCTTAGAAAAAGGAGGAGGAAAAGGAGGATGAGAACGTAGTACGAGTTATAGGCAAATATTGCTACTTCTTTTTTTTTTTTTTTTTTTTTTTTGAGACAGAGTCTCGCTCTGTCGCCCAGGCTGGAGTGCAGTGGCGCGATCTCGGCTCACTGCAAGCTCCGCCTCCCGGGTTCACGCCATTCTCCTGCCTCAGCCTCCCGAGTAGCTGGGACTACAGGCGCCCGCCACCACGCCCAGCTAATTTTTTTTTTGGTATTTTTAGTAAAGACGGGGTTTCACCGTGTTAGCTAGGATGGTCTCAATCTCCTGACCTTGTGATCTGCCTGCCTCAGCCTCCCAAAGTGCTGGGATTACAGGCGTGAGCCACCGCGCCTGGCCAATATTGCTACTTCTAAAATAATTGCAAAGCTAAACATATGGGATGCAAGGTCAGATGGTACAAATGCCAAGTGGTACTCCATTCTACATTCAGCAAAAATGTATTGTGTACCTATATGTGAAAGACATCATGTAGGGTAGACATCTATGATCAATTCCTTTTGGCATCTGGGCTATAGACTCATTTTTAAGTAAAAAGTAAACCTTATCATTTTTAAGCAAAGATGTTTCATATTCCATCCATTTTTAACTTTGGCCTTCAGCAAGTTTATAGCTTGGAGCTCATAGCTAAACTCCTCAGCTAGACTTTTGAACTAAATGCAACACTTTGTTCCATGATGTCTAGTCTTTTATTCTTATGTTTAAGATTTCTTTATGTTGTATATTTTTATAATCTTTATTTTTTTAATTAGAGAAGATTTTACTACAGAATCTTTTCTTTGCCTTTTGCTATTTTTTACTCAACAATTGTTTAATGCCTAGAACCAAGCTCCTATAACCCAGATGGGGTATCCCAAGCCTGTCTTTGCCCAATGTCTACCTAGCCATTCTCACACCAAAAAGAGTGGGAAGAAGAGAGACCTGGACATGAAGGCAGATGATAGAATCTGTATCATGTCCTTAAAAGAGGCCTTTGGATGCAGAATCACAAATGTGTCATGGAGAAGGAAATATTTCTGAAAAGAGCCTAAACAGAAAAATTCATATAGGTATTATTTGAAGTCAAGTGTAAGATGAAAATTCAAATAGGTTACCTGATTCCTGCACTGGGAATGTCATCTAAAGTTCTACTGCAGTGCCCCACTTGTAAGTGCCCCCAAATCCTCCATGGAACGAGTATAGAACAGGGAATGTGATGAGGCTCCTCACCCCATCAGGTCCCTTCTTAGGACAAGGAAGCCTGCTTATTGGGTCCCCAGGATTAGAGAAAGAAGTGGAGTAGAACAATATCATGGGACTGTTTGAAGCTCTATATTAATCATAACTTATTTAATCATTTTATATCCTATGAGACATGGACTAAGCCAAATCATCTCTTGATTCTTCTTTCATAGCTCTTCCAGAACCTTCTCCTTTCATCTCTCAGTTGTCCTAGATACTCAAAAGCTCCTAGTCTGGCATATTTCTCAGTCATGTCTTTGTTACCTTACCTACCACAAACTGGAATATGTTTCAAACTCACCTGTTTCTCTTCATGCTTCCACATTTTTTCAAAACTCTTGCTAACTCCAACCAAAGATAAGTTATGTTTCATCCAAATTAATTCCTCAATAAACCACTTTTATACAGTCTAAAAAGGTATTATCGATGCTTTTGCTGGGGAGGGGCTGAAGCAAGTTCACTGAGGCCCCCTGGATTACAGAGAACCAATATCAGCTCCTACTGCCACTCTATTCTCTCCTCCACCAAAACCCAGCATGATTCTCTTGTTTCTTGAGTATTGAGCTGTCATCTGTGAAATCATCTTGGCTCCTACAAAACTATGCTTGCACCTGCTCTCCATGGGTTTAGAACAATGTCCAACAGAAATATTATGTAAGCCACAAATGCAAACCTGGTAAGTCATTTTAAAGTTTCTAGTAGTCACATTTTTAAAAAAATTTAAAGATAAATGTATTACCTTGCTAAGGCTGCCACAACAAAATACCACAGGCTAGGTAGCTTAAGCAACAAAAATGTATTTTCTCACCATTCTAAAGCCTGCAACTCCAAGATCTAGGTGCTGCAGGATAAATTATTCTGAGGCCTTTCTCCTTGGCTTGTAGATGGCCACCTTTTTGCTGTGCCTCTCACGGCCTTTTCTCTATGCACATGCAACCCTGACATCTCTTCCTCTTCCTATAGAGATACCAGTCCTATTGGATTAGGGCCCACCCAAATGACCTCATTTAACTTTATCTCCTTAAATTCCATATCTCCAAATACAGTCACACTGGGAATTAGGTCTTCAGTATATGATTTTTCAGGGGGACACAATTCAGTCCATAATAACAGGTAAAATTAATTTTTAAAATGTGTTTCATTTAATTCAATATATCTAAGATATTATCATTTCAACATATAACCTTTTACATTTTGTATAACATGCTATTTTTATACTGCATCTTTAAAATCTGGTGTGTATTTTATGCTTATACTGCATCTTAATTTGGACTAGCCACTTTTTCAAATACTCTGTAGCCACATATAGCTAGTGACTACCATATTGGACAGCACAGGTATATCAGGACCAGATATACTATTCCAGATGACCCCTCTCTAAGCTGCAACTTAAACCTCATCCCCATTTGCTCAGGCTGCAATGTTTTGCCCATATAAAATGACTTTAGTTACAATACATTGCCAAGAGTAAGGGTGGATTTTCCCACTGCACCTATCAATTCTTTTCATACAAAGTGGCACACATCTAGAAGGCTTTGTGTAGATGAGTCAAGATGAGGAAACGAACAACTTTCTTTGACAACAGAGGCTAAATCAGGAAGAGTAGAAAGCAACAGTTAAGAAACAATTTCAATGTTCTGGGCAGAGGGAAGGAAAACGATGTGAACTACATTTAAAAGGAAGGTGGTAATTCAGTACTGATTAGATGTGGGGAATAAAGATAAAAGTTGAAATGATTTCATGATTTTAAAAGAAGATTTTAAAGAAAATGACTGTGGGCAGTTCTCAAGACCTATGGGCAGTTCACAAGGTCCTTTCTAACTTTGCACCAAGATTCGCTTCAGCTAGAACATCCAAAGAGATCATCTCCAAATCTCCTTTACCTATTGAAGTCTTCTGAGCTCCAGTACCACATTTCAGGCTGCCTGGTAGACAATACCTGTAGAAATTTTTGTCATAAATTAAAAATTCACTTGCAAAAAATAAAATCAGGTCTTATCAGTCTCACAGTAAACCTGAGTTTCCTTTTGACTTCTCTCTAATTTTCTTTATATATAATCCATTCTCCCCATAATGCATTTTTGGAACTTCAAAGTGAGTTCTGTTCTGAACCCTTTATATCAAGTTCTATCAGGCTTTTTAATTGTTTTTTTTTCCCACATTCTACCACCACTTTAATTTTGGTTACTTTATTCCAAACTATTATACTAGCCCCTAACTAGCTCTCTTATCCATCTCCTCCCCGCAATTTATGCTTCACAAAGCTGCCATTTAACCCCCTTAAATCACAGCTATGAATCTCTCCTCTGCCTACTGAATATGTGTACTTCATATTGCTGGTTAAGCTTTTGAGATCAGTCTTAACTGTTTCCAACCTCCCTGCCATCTTTACCGTATGTTATCCTCTTATACAAACTCCAACTTATCTGAATTACTACTCACCATTACCTTTAAAAAAATCATTAAATGTTTCCAGTTCCAAACTTTATCCCATATAGTACCTGCTGCCTGAAATGAAGTACTATCATCTTTTGTCATCTGCTGAAGTTTCAGCTCAAATGCCTTCTCTATGATGCTTTTCAGAATCACTCCAGCAATAAATCATTTCTTCATTTATTCAATTCAAAACAGCTAGCCTTTTTTTGAACCTTCTATTACGTGCTAGGCACCAGCAAATCAAAGACAAATGAACTATGGTCCCTAACTCAGGAGTCTCAATATTTATTAGTAGAAACAAATGCATAACAATCATCAATTATTTGTTACTTTAACAAATATTTATCAAGCACCAATTATATCCTAGACACCACTCTAGACTCTGAGGATATAACATATACAAGATAGAGTGGCCTGTTTGGAATCAGGCTGCACAGCAGGAAGTAAGTGGTGGGTGAGCAAGTGAAGCTTCATCTGTATTTACAGCCACTCCACATTGCTCACATTACCACCTGACCTACCCCTCATGTCAGATCAGCGGCAGCCTTAGATTCTCATAGGAGCGCGAACCCTAACATGAACTATGCATGTGAGGAATCTAGGTTGTGGATTCCTTATGAGAATCCAATGCCTGATGATCTGTTAGTCTCCCATCACCCCCAGATGAGACTATCTAGTTGCAGGAAAACAAGCTCAGGACTCCTACTGATTCCACATTATGGTGAGTTCTATAATTATTTTATTATTTATTATAATGTAATAATGATAGAAATAAAGTGCACAATAAATGTAACCTGCTTGAACCATCCCAAAACCATCCCCTGCTCCCTGATCTGTGGAAAAATTTTCTTCCACAAAACTGGTCCCTGTTTCCAAAAAGGTTGGGGATGCTGCTCTAAGTGGATCAGCAAGAACATAACAGATAGTGATAAGTTTTGTACTAACAACGACAATAGGATGATATGATAGGGAGTGACTACTTGGCTGATTTGGATAGGAATGATGTTTAATCTAATACATGAAGGACAAGAAGGCAGACACATAAAGCTTGGGGGAAGAGTATTCTAGGCCAAGGAAATAGCTGTTATAAAGACCATAAAGCCAGAACTTGCTTGGCACATTTGAAGAACTGAAAAGGTTGTAGCTGGAACTGTAAGGGATTTCTGGGGAAAGAGTGGACTGTAAGGAAGCAAGAATGGAATCACAGATACTAATTATGAGGCTCTTGCAATAACCTGGGCAAATAGCTGATAGGGGCTTAGAAAAGATGGTGAGAAATGGGCAAATTCAATATAAACTTGGAGGTAGTCTATAAGACTTTCTGATGAATTGGATGTGTGGAGTGACAGAGCATAAAATCAATGTTGATGATAATGTAATGCAATAGAACCATACCTGGGGGTGCATGCAAACACTTAGCAGGGAGACATTAATCCTAGTGTATGTGTGGGGGAGGGAGGAAGTCATGGAAGAGCTCCCCTGCAAACAACATTAACGCTACCTAAGAGTCCTTTGAGTCACAGTTACCTAAGTTTATGTCATCTTTTTTAATAAAATATAGTCTTAAAGGCAGAAAATCTAACATACTTTGGTTTTCCCCTCCCCCACAACACCCAGAATAGTGCTCTGTGATAACAGCAAGCCATATAACTTTTGGATAAATAAGTAAAAGAACAAATGTACGTCTTAATCATTGAAAACATGATGATGATATCACTGACAGAAATGAAAGACAAGCGAGAGCCAGTATGTCGGGGAAAAGGGAGGCACAAAAAATGTTGATTTAGAAGTAAAGTTGCCATGTTGAAAAAGAAATGATTCCTAATTTTTAGGAGAGTAGGAAAGAATAGAAATGCACTATTGTCTTTTTTAGGCCCACAACTTAGTGACTTTTGGTAGGGTTATGCCTTCAAATAGTCAGATATTATTATGAATATTAATACATGTCTTAATAAGAAGAAGAATCATACCACTTCCTCCATGGTAAGCATGGTGGGTGCTTTATGGACATCTTATTTAATCCCAACAGAGTTCCATGTGGTAGCTGTTTGTATCACCATTTTACAGATGAAGGACTTCAGCCACAGAAAAGTCAAGCACTTCCCCGGGGCCTCACAGCTTGAAGACAAAGAACTGGGATTCAAACTCATGTTTAGACAGTTGCTTGCATTTGCCAACTTTTACCAGCCAACTTTGCTCTCTGTATAATTCTAGATGTTTCGAATTCAAGTTTATTTATACATAAATGCGTTATTTCTAAAGACTAGACACTTGTGAAACTGAATTACAATTTCCTGTTGAATCCCTTCATGGAGTTTCTTAAATATAAATCCACCTCAATCTTATGTTTCATTGTACATATTTAACTATATAAACAGTGTACACATGTTGATTATGTCTATAAAGTCACTCTACAGTTTTGATTCTATGACAGATCAACATTTATCATTCTGGTTAGTGGTGCCCATTATATACTATAAAGGAATTCACATTTCCGCTGTCACACACCAATATAATGTCCTAGAGTCCTAGAAAAAGATAAGAGTGGGAAATAAGCTCTGTTAGTGCACCCAAAAGTAGGAGGAACAAAATCCTTCTCTCAGATTTACATATATTGTGTCCAAAGGCAAAAGTAACCCCGATGAGAAGATCAATCATACCCAGAGCCTTGGCATCATGCAGTATATCTATACAACAAACCTGCACATATGCACCCTGAATTTTAAAATAGATGTTGAAATTATATTTAAAAATATTTCTAACTAACCCCAAAATAATTGATTTCTTTTAAACAAACACCAGAGGCTTCTAAAGAATATTTTTGCCTACATTTTCTTTGGTCATTTTAAACAAATTTGAGCATGCACCCCTATTTTATAATAAAGGGATTTTTGCCCTCGTTTCAAGAAAAATGTGAATCTTGGTACTTAGGAGGGAATGAGGCCTATCACTGTATCTTGATAATGCTAATCAACAATGCAGGAGAGGAAAATAACAGCCTGGATGAGCAGACTACACAGAGTGAGTGGGAAGCTGATGAGGCTTATTGCTTTCAAATGTCGACCCTATTTATAATGAACACTCAGAAAAACAGGACCACGTTCCCTTTGCACACAACTGTGGCAAAGCTGTACTCTCCTGTTTCTCACAATGAGATTTTTTAAACGACGCCGTTGATCTTCTTGGGAATCAAATGATTCAGACAAATGTCTAGAATGGGCTTTGAAAGGCATCTTGGGAAGAAGTGTCCCTAAACCCTCGTGGATAAGGATCTATTCCATTTTCAAATCCCAGGAGTAAATGTGCTTGGCACACCCTCTTTCAGATACTTAACCAATCTTGCCCTTGTTATTATGGCGTGCTTTGAGAAGAGATGAGGAGCAGGCCTGGCCTGGTGGAAACCCTGTCAGATATGTTCATTAGTGCCCTTTTTCATTTCCCCCACATTAGGTTCAGCCTGCAAGCCCAATAGTCCCTACTCCTTTCCCTGGCCCACAGCCAAGAAGAAAGCCTAATGGCTGGAGGGACAAGGTGTTTGGGTTCTGATACCACTAGCAAAGCTTGATTGCTCTGTGTAGTCACTGCAGTCAGACTGGTGTGTATTTCCTCATCAAAGAGGAACTCTGATGCTTTACACCGTAATTTGTATAATTAATCTTCTGAGTTTTTTTGAAATTGCATTTTTGTTGTTGTTGCTGTTGTTAATAAATGCCACAGTGTTATCAATCCACATTTAGTACCAAGAGGAAATAACAATGCACATGAAAGTGAAATTGCAAACCTAGCTCCACCAAAGGTGTCACTCATGAATGATGGGTAAAATGCTGCCATCTTTTGGTTATTGACAAGAGTGAATGGGGGTGGAAAAGTGAGGGGTGAAAAATAGAGTTTGTTATTCTAAATGCAAATTCTCCAGGTTGCTGAGACCTTATTAAAAAAGCTCGGAGAAACATCCTTTAGAATTTCCAGAATTTTTCTTTTTTATTCACAGAAGTTTCTGCTGCTTCATAGACTGTGCAACAAAGGGTTTGTTCCTCTAGCTGCAAGGACTTGTCTGTGGAGTCCAGTAAGTAGAACTGGGTGCAATAATACAGTAGAGGGCTTGTTAGCTCTAGTAAAGAACAAGTGGAATCAGGTTGGTGTAAACAGTCACTTCACTATGACTGTGGTACACTCTTCCTGCCTCAGGAATACTTGAGAGCACCTTGCATTATGTTGCATTGAAATCCATGTTTCCCAGGGTAATGAATTATGTACCATTTGTACTCCAGCCTCTTTTGAGCACTCAGCTCTAAATGTTTGCATCAGTGCCAGTGAGTGTAAGGTGATCTCATTAGGGCAAGAGAGGTGGAATATATATTAGTAGACACAGTATAATTCCCCAATAGCTTAATGTCAATTTACGATTAAAATGCAACTCCACATGCCATTTCTTGAGAAAACTACAAAGCTACAATTTTATTACATAGTCCAAAAGGAAAAGTCCCCAAGTGCATGAACTGGCCCAGTCAACATCTTGCTACAAGACCAGCCCTCCTCATGCATGCAGCTGCTCTGAGGTGGGAAGTAACAGAAGCCCTCGGGTGGTGTGAATTCTGCCGTCATACACCTGCTACATCAATTAAACCTGTCGTCCTCTTTTGGTGGCTAGTTCTGAGAAACTGACGGTTCATACCTTGCTTTTTCAGAAACTATCATGGTAGGCATTTCCCAGTTGAATGTTCTCTATTCGGCAGTCTCACTTGAGACATTTACTAATTTATGATCAGTTTTGTTTATTAAATAATTCAAAGGAGTTGAAAATAGTTTATACTCTTTCCCATTTGGAGGCTGAAAATGGGCTTCCAGGATGCGCTGAGGCCAGGCTGCCTTCTAGAATTTAACATTGAGCTTACTTCTACTGCAGGATTGGATTATCTAGTGATATTTGCTATGAAATCCATGGAATTCGAGGTTTTTGTACTTTAAATGAACAAACTGGGTTGTATGCTATTACCTAAGAATAGGTGTTGTCAAGTCAACCATTTAAATTGTTTTGGGTATATACTATGAATCTGTCTTCACCCCTTGGAGAAGAGGTGTGGTGCACATCCTAAACATCTGTAATCTGGCAACAAGAAGAGAGAGTGTTTTATTTTTATCTATAGGCTCTCTGTAATATGTATGTGTATCTGTGTGAACATGCACATAAATTATATATATAAATACATAAAATTATATATATAGTGAGGTTTTAACACAACAATGAAAGTGGCTTAGTAAGCTGCCAATTTGAAGTAAATATATGTTTTTTTTTACACTACCAAAGAAATACAACTTTTGAATGTGTGTGTTTGTATTGGGTGATGTTGGAGCAAATGTACAAGAACACTTGTTTCTGTACCTTGCCTCTTCTTAAAATATTGTCTTGAAAGAATGTTATTGGCAACAATGAAAGAACACAAATTTTACAAATATTTCCCACCTCTTCTTTTTGAGCCTTTTAGTCAAATAGTAAACTAAAACGGTAGCAAAAAATAAAAATATCATGCAAAATCAAAAGGAACTATTTAAGATAAATGTACCTGAATAAGAGCAAATCACAATCAAAAACTAATGTGCCAAGGTGAGCTTATTTCAAGGCAACCTCTTCCCTTTCCCTCCCATATCTAATCCCATGCATCTGTTCATTCATTTGCCCCTCCCTTTACTATGATATGGTTCCTTTAGGTTGCTTGGCAACCATTATAATGCTGCTGCACATGCGTGCTAGATAATAAATCCTATCTTGCTTTATTTTTCTCCTTCTTTAAAACAAGGAATTACAAAACAAGATATTTCCCCCTTTTTCTAATGGACAAAAAACATCTGTGGGAATTTCAAAAGCACATAAAATGCCTGCAAGGATGCAGATAAGTAATTAAAATTCTTGACAAAGTGTAACTGATCATTGCCTAATGTGTCTACATGCAGTTATTATTTGCAATGGCCTCCTCTTTTAAATATGTGTACATTAATGTACATATGTCGATATATGTGTGTGTGGAACTATAAAGAGAAAAGAAGAGAAAGAAAAGAAAGTGACAGCTGCTATGCCCCAAACAAAGAAAATAAAGAAAATTCCTGGAAATAATCTTGTTTTATTTTATTTTATTTTTTAAACAGTGAATGCAGTAGTTTAGAAGACAGGACCTGGACTAAATCCATCTACTTTTTTCTATAAGAAATCAGACAAAGCTTATGGATTTCCCCTTCCCCTCCTTGGCAAATCCGAGTGTCCTGCTGCTTTCATTTGTTTTTGATCTGCCTCATTAAAAGACTATTGATGGCTTTAACTATTGTTCTTGTTTAGGTGCTGATTTACAAGCACTAATATCTGACTGTGCGAGATTAATGGGAGTCCAGGCAGTTTATGATTATCCTGAGGTCCCTGACCACACATGTAGGGGTTTGGGTAGGGGTCATGCACTCCTATGAAAAACTCCAAAGCAGGCTTAAACCTGGGAACGTTTTAATAGGATTGAATCTGTAATAGGATTTGGCAGCTTGGCCGAAACTGGATGGTGTGGCTTGTTTGGGGTTTCTTTCTCTTCTCTCTTTTTAATATATATATATTTTTAATCTTAGAGTCATTATTGTCTTGGAATAAAAAGGTAATATTTTATGATGAAGTCCAAATATTGTTACTGTACTTTAAAGGAGTCTTTAAGGGGGAAAAACACTGTACAATACAGGATATTAAAAGAAAAGAATGCTGGGGCATGAAATGCTCTTCCTATTATGTAGTAAATTAGAAGGTAAAAAATAAAAGATGGGGATAGAAAAATATTTCTGTTGTGAATGGCTGTGTATTTTTAGCTAAAAATGCTTTAAGTAGTCTAAAAGACACGGGCAACATAGGGCTATTTATAAAGGAGGATATTTCTCCCAGGCAGGCAAAGCTGCCCCTCCTGGCACCATGTTTTGCTGAATAGCACAGCGCCCTGAAGCTGAAGTCTCCCTTAGTCAAACAACAAGGGCACTCTGAGTGACAGCAGCAGTGTGGCGCATTCGATTTTTGAATAATATCGCAAACACGAATAAAATTCAAAGTAAAGATACCACACTCTTGATAATATCCCAAATGGAATTCTATCAATATTTTAGTTCCCATTTGAAATCTGGCACAAGGGACTGTGAGCTTTGCCGACTCTATCTTCTATGTCAATTCACTTGATTGTAGTGTGGAAATTCAGGAACAGTGGCGGTAATATTATTTAACCTCTTGTACTCCGGTCATTTGAACATTATAAGGACACCCTTACATAAAGATGCTTTTATTAATTTTAGTGGGCTGGAAATGAAAACGCAAGATATACAGCGCAGGCCTAGAGGGTCATACAAGTGCCCTTTTACAGGACCTAACCTGTAAATCTCAAAGCACAAAAGAAGTTACCGTGGCTATAAGACCTCATAAAAAGGTAATAGGAAAATAAATTACAGATTTTGTTTTGGTTGGCTTTAAAAATCTGGTTGTAGCAGAACTTTTAGGAAATCTAAACTTTAACTAAATATCCGGAGTGTATTTATGACTTCAAAGAAATTCACTTTCACACCCAAATATGTAACACAGCCAAGTCATTCTACTGTATTACTTGCTGTCATTCTGCTTCAGAAAGTTGCACATTTTTCAAATAGAACTATAGAAATGAAATGAACATATTATTTCAAACAGTGTTTTTTCACAGAATCATTTTCTTCTTTGTTTATTTTTATTCCAAAGACTATTTTTCAAAGTCTATTTTTTTTGTAGTGTTGTTATAATAATGATCTTTCAACCCAAAGGTCTGAGGGTTGTTTATAATTGCTATTATTCCTTTCTAACTACATAGAACATTCTTCCTATAATATCCACATCTATACATACTGTAAATATTAAGCATTTATTATAGCTGTGACTATTTTTATTACATGGAAGGTAGTAAGTAACCTAGGTCTTGTATTCATGAATAAAGCAATTTATAGTGGTGATATTAGTGTCCATATAGCATTGATGTCATAAGAACCACAGAAGTATTGACGGGAAGCCTCTCAGACACAATGCTTTGACCACTGGTCAGGACTGAGATGATCCCAGTACCCGCTGAGGACAAAGCCACAAGGGACCTGACAGCCACTATAAACATTTTGGATACACATCAACCAGTGCTTGAAAAATGCTCCATTCCTAATGCTCTCCATAAACTCAGGTCCAGTGTTGTTATCACGATCACTGGTTGTTACTATCTAATATCAAATATATTTCTCATTGTTCTAATATTTCCTATTGTTCACATCCTAGGAAGGAAGAAAAATCTATTACTTAATCCAATAACCTGGTATCTTCTTCTATAAATTCAAACTGCACTTAAATACTGCTTGACTAATCGCTTACACATTCTCATAAAGTATGCTGAGAAAGACATCATGATCCTCTATTTTGCAGACTGAGAAGGTGAGATGAGGTGATATAAAGTGGCTTAGGGAGGACCAATTTAGTGACATCTAAGAATTCTACCTGAGTTCAACTCAGAACTGATTCAAACTTTCTAAGTTTGAAATGCCATGGAAGTGAGTTATGAAAGCTACGAACTTGCTCTCTGGATGCCAGTGTATTAATATTTTCTTTTGCACTTGCATGAGCTTTAAAGTATAATTTGACAAAACTTATCCTGAATGCTAAAAACTGATTAACATCATCGTCATAAAGAAAAACAAAGTTTTTACACACAAAGACAAAAATTTCCTTTTACTGAAGTGCCTAGTTCTGATTTTCAGAAATATCAATTATAACTAAAAAACTCTTGAAAATTTCCAAAAGGTTTTCTAATTAAAAGGACAGATCCAATGCAAAGATGATACATAGAACGTGTGTGTAAAAAGAGAAAGATAAGAAAAGAAAAAAGATTACGGTTGTTTAATTATAACATTTACAAAGCTAACATTACAACATTATGGGTAATCATCTTATTTGTAAAGCCTTAGAAGTGTGAAACTAAATATCCATGAAGTAACCTAATTTTCTGTGTTTCTTCCATAACATCCTCTCATGACAGTCAGCTAACTTAGTGCAACATGCCAATCATTGCTATAGAGAGATGGTGATTTTCATTTGACCTGATTTTTTACAAAGAGGAAGGCCCGACGTATGTATTTGAAAAGATGGGAGTTGGGGGATTGTTTGTTTGTTTGTTTGTTTTGGTTTGGTTTGGTTAGGATATATCATTACATTTTACTTTCTAATTTTTGAATGCAAATTGTACTTAGAACTGTGATCAGAATTACTTCTGTTTATGTTTAATTACAGTGTTCGTGACTGCATGCAACAAATGTAAACATTCATCAGCATGTATGGAAACTGCTCGTCGCTACAGCGTGTGCTATGTCTGTTCTTTTCCTGATCCCAGCAGTAAGTAAATCTTGGCAAAAATAGAGGATACAGCTATGAAATGAGCCCAATTCAAAAGTGGTGTAATATCGGTAATATATGTTTGGGCTCTTCTCACAATGAGAACCATACAGTTTAGTAGATAAATTCTAATAGTTTATTTCATTTAAAACATCCCTTCTTGTTCACTCTGATGGTAGTTTCTCTTGCTATGCAGAAGCTCTTTAGTTTAATTAGATCCCATTTGTCAATTTTTGGCTTCTGTTGCCATTGCTTTTGGTGTTTTAGACATGAAGTCCTTGCCAGTGCCTATGACCTGAATGGTATCGTCTAGGTTTTCTTCTAGGGTTTTTATGGTTTTATGTCTAACATTTAAGTCTTTAATCCATCTTGAAATGGTTTTTGTATAAGGTGTAAGGAAGGGATCCAGTTTTAGCTTTCTACATATGGCTAGCCAGTTTTCCCAGCACCATTTATTAAATAGGGAATCCTTTCCCCATTTCTTGTTTTTGTCAGGTTTGTCAAAGATCAGACGGTTGTAGATGTGTGGTATTATTTCTGAGGGCTCTGTTCCGTTCCATTGGTCTGTATCTCTGTTTTGGTACCAGTACCATGCTGTTTTGGTTACTGTAGCCTTGTAGTATAGTTTGAAGTCAGGTAGTGTGATGCCTCCAGCTTTGTTCTTTTGGCTTAGGATTGTCTTGGCAATGTGGGCTCCTTTTTGGTTCCATATGAACTTTAAAGTAGTTTTTTCCAATTCTGTGAAGAAAGGCATTGGTAGCTTGATGGGGATGACATTGAATCTAAAAATTACCTTGGGCAGTATGGCCATTTTCACAATATTGATTATTTCTATCCATGAGCATGGAATGTTCTTCCATTTGTTTGTGTCCTCTTTTGTTTTGTTGAGCAGTGGTTTGTAGTTGTCCTTGAAGAGGTCCTTCACATTCCTTGTAAGTTGGATTCCTAGGTATTTTCTCTTTGAAGAAATTGTGAATGGGAGTTCACTCATGATTTGGCTCTCTGTCTGTCTGTTATTGGTGTATAAGAATGCTTGTGATTTTTGTGCATTGATTTTGTATCCTGAGACTTTGCTGAAGTTGCTTATCAGCTTAAGGAGATTTTGGGCTGAGACGATGGGGTTTTCTAAATATACAATCATGACATCTGCAAACAGGGACAATTTGACTTCCTCTTTTCCTAACTGAATACTCTTTATTTCTTTCTCCTGCCTGATTGCCCTGGTGAGAACTTCCAACACTATGTTGAATAGGAGTGGTGAGAGAGGGCATCTGTGTCTCGTGCCAGTTTTCAAAAGGAATGCTTCCAGTTTTTGCCTATTCAGTATGATATTGGCTGTGGGTTTGTCATAAATAATTCTTGTTATTTTGAGATATGTCCCATCAATACCTAATTTATTGAGAGTTTTTAGCATGAAGCGCTGTTGAATTTTGTCAAAGGCCTTTTCTGCATCTATTGAGATAATCATGTGATTTTTGTCTTTGGTTCTGTTTATATGATGGATTATGTTTATTGATTTGCATATGTTGAACCAGCCTTGCATCCCAGGGGTGAAGCCCACTTGATCATGGTGGACAGCTTTTTATGTGCTGCTGGATTCGGTTTGCCAGTATTTTATTGAGGATTTTTGCATTGATATTCATCAGGGATATTGATCTAAAATTCTCTTTTTTGGTTGTGTCTCTGCCAGGCTTTGGTATCAGGATGATGCTGGCCTTATAAAATGAGTTAGGGAGGATTCCCTCTTTTTCTATTGATTGGAATAGTTTCAGAAGGAATGGTACCAGCTCCTCCTTGTACCGCTGGTAGAATTCAGCTATGAATCCATCTGGTCCTGGACTTTTTTTGGTTGGTAGGCTATTAATTATTGCCTCAATTTCAGAGCCTGTTATTGGTCTATTCAGGGATTCAACTTCTTCCTGGTTTAGTCTTGGGAGGGTGTATGTGTCGAGGAATTTATCCATTTCTTCTAGATTTTCTAGTTTATTTGTGTAGAGGTATTGACAGTATTCTCTGATGGTAGTTTATACTTCTGTGGGATCGTTGGTGATATCCCCTTTATAATTTTTTATTGCGTCTATTTGATTCTTTGCTCTTTTCTTCTTTATTAGTCTTGCTAGTGGTCTATCAATTTTGTTGATCTTTTCAAAAAACCAACTCCTGGATTTATTGATTTTTTTGAAGGGTTTTTTGTGTCTCTATCTCCTTCAGTTCTGCTCTGATCTTAGTTGTTTCTTGCCTTCTGCTAGCTTTTGAAAGTGTTTGCTCTTGCTTCTCTAGTTCTTTTAAAAGAAAATTTTTGCAATCTACCTATCTGAAAAAGAGCTAATATCCAGAATCTACAAAGAACTTAAACAAATTTACAAGCAAAAAAAAACAACCCCATCAAAAAGTGGGCGAAGGATATGAACAGACACTTGTCAAAAGAAGACATTTATGCAGCCAACAGACACATGAAAAAATGCTCATCATCGTTGGCCATCAGAAAAATGCAAATCAAAACCACAATGAGATACCATCTCACACCAGTTAGAATGGGGATCATTAAAAAGTCAGGAAGAAACAGGTGCTGGAGAGGATGTGGAGAAATAGGAACACTTTTACACTGTTGGTGGGACTGTAAACTAGTTCAACCATTTTGGAAGACAGTGTGGTGATTTCTCAGGGATCTAGAACTAGAAATACCATTTGACCCAGCCATCCCATTACTGGGTATATACCCAAAGGATTATAAATCATGCTGCTAGAAAGACACATGCACATGTATGTTTATTCAGGCACTATTCACAATAGCAAAGACTTGGAACCAACCCAAATGTCCATCAATGATAGACTGGATTAAGAAAATGTGGCACATATACACCATGGAATACTATGAAACCATAAAAAAGGATGAGTTCATATCCTTTGTAGGGGCATGGATGAAGCTGGAAACCATCATTCTCAGCAAACTATCGCAAGGACAGAAAACCAAACACCACATGTTCTCACTCATAGGTGGGAATTGAACAATGAGAACACTTGGACACAGGAAGGGGAACATCACACAGTGGGGCCTGTCATGGGGTTGGGGGAGGGGGGAGGGATAGCATTAGGAGATATACCTAATGTAAATGACGAGTTAATGGGTACAGCACACCAACATGGCACATGGATACATATGTAACAAACCTGCACATTGTGCACATGTACCCTAGAACTTAGAGTATAATAATAAAAAATAAAATAAAATAAAGTAAAAGCAGAACTGTTAAAAAAAAAATCCCTTCTTTGGCTAACCATGGCCTCTTCTGCAGGCATGGAAGTAAAATGGTTAAAAGAAAATTATGCTTCTCACAATGGCAGAGCAAACTACTATTCCAAAGTCTCCCAAAGAGTGAGATATTGTGTTTAGGAGTCTAGGAAGCAGTTGATGATTCTTTGGTTAAATATGTTTGATGAAGTGCTTGTTTAACCAAGTTCCTTTAGTTCAGGTGTAGAGCTTTTCGTATGCTAATGCACATTTTGAATTTTCCAGAGAGTAATCGTATACACAGAATCTCCCACAACTATTCAACCAGAGCTCTTTTCTAAAGGACATGGTTTGACAAGGCCTGCATGGTTTTCTGATCCCAGAGAGGCTGGTCAGAAATTGGTAATAGGAGTTTGGTGGCTGGAGTTGAAGCAAAGCCTGCTCATGACTGTGGGACAGAAAACATTACTTACTGTCTGATGTAGGATTATTCCAAGGCCCTCTGGAAATCAAGAATAGAAAGCAACAGTACAATTTCCAGAAACTGAGAAGTAGGTGAGGCACTAGAAATGGGTCCCTGGAGTGTCCTCCAATCTTCACCCCTCTTTGCCCTCACTTGCAGTATTGCTTGGAAGCACTGAATTGCTGTGAGGGAGTTCAACCCAGCTCACCAGTTTTCTCATCTCCTTGGTTAAGAGAGTTTAAAGAACCTTTGAAGAGCTGGTAATGAAGTGGACAAATTATACCACAGGTGTCATCATCATGCAGACTCCAGCAGGGACAGATGTAGAGCATGGGACAAAAGGTTATTCTAGCTATAGCCTTTAAGAGAATTACTGTATACCTCCAACAAATGCTAGATAATGGTGATGGTATGACTATTAAGAGTGGCCATCTTTGAGGACTTACAATGTGCTGAGCACCCTGCTAAGGACTTCACAGACATTATCTCAATTAATCCTCACCACATCGGCCTTATGAAATAGAATGCCCATGTTATAGATGAGCAAGTTGAGGCTTAAAGAAAATCACAGAGGTCACCAAGTCAATAAATAATGCAATCAGCATTCAACAGAGATCTTTCTGACTCCAAAGTATGTGGAATTAACTATTCTGCCATACAACCTGGGTCAGCACCTTATACATCTGACTCAGCTAAGATACAGCCCAAATGAGACACCTGCTAAAGCTGTGTCATAACCCAATCTGTCTCCTGACGTGGAATTAACCGGAATAAATCTTACTGTATGCAATAAGTTAATGCGTATTTTGGATTTAACTAATAAGAATAAGCAATTTTGAAGCACCTCTTCTTTTAAATAAATTATAGTTTTTATAAGTTTATCAGGGAAGAAAAAAGGGATGGAGAAATGAAATGTAGAGCAGCTGAAAAATTAAATATGAGTTAATTAATAAATGGCTATTTTAGGAAGAAACTTCCAATACAATCAGTTTCTAAATTCTTCCAATGGTTATTTAAAATATGATGTCAAATGAAATATATACTTGCCACAATATGACACACTCCTCCCAGGGACAGTCTAAATATAAACAAAAAACCTCTGATGCCACTTACTTCTATGCATGGGCAAATTTGCATAAGATATCATAAATAGATCCATATCCTCTTGCACCATGCAATGGCCTAAAATACTCCCCAGCACCCTATTCAACGACCAGCACCAATCTAGAGAATGATTGTCCAGCTTTATAGAGATCATTATGGATGAGTGGCATGCCATCAATCAGATAACTCCATAGATCCCATGTAGTCCTGAGGTCATCACTCAAGAGAGAAATGGTTTCTCCAGAAAGCTGCTCTGAAGGCTTTTTTGCTTCTAATCTTCATTAGCCAAATACAAAGCTGATTAACTGGAGACATAAGAGGAATATAAGCGGACATGTTTGCTCCAACTGAAATAATTGTGGTAAATTTGTGTTTGCAGTATATCCAAAAAAGGAGAAGAGAATCAGAATTTTATTTTGAATATTTGGGTGTGTCCTTCTGCCTACATTGTTCATTTACTTAAAGGAATTCTCCTGATAATAGCATGATGATAAATTCTACTTCACTATATTGTTTTGTTCTTGAGGGTTTTGTTTCTATATGCCTTTGTGTAGATGATATGTGAAGAAAAGTAAAAAATATGAGTATCTGGTTCCCAAGTGGGTAGACCTAAAAGAAAATGTCTCTAAGCACAGAAAAGTATCTGCACCCACTTACAGGGCACCAGTACTGCTATGGGCTAGCTTTCTCGGGCTTCTCCAAGTTGAAGGGTCACATCGTATAGGGTGGTGCAAAAGTAATTTGGGTTTTTGCCATGGAAAGGAGTACTATCTTATCCAGAAGACAGAGACTCCAGAACACAGGGAGGCAGTCTTTGTCTCCTTCTTCTATTTCCCAAATCAACTTCTCCCGGATTAGTTCAAATCTAAAGCATGTTGCTGGCACTTTCCTTGCACTGCCACCTCCAACAGCCTCCATCACCTTCACTCTCACTCATGTCCTTTAGGCCTCGAAACACAATGCTTTGATAAAATACCAAGATGCCTATTCCCACCCCCTTTCATTTTAATCCCCAATACACGGACCAGTCTCAGTGAGTTTTACCAGCCTGGTGGCTGAGGTTGGAGTCCCGAGATCAGGGCAGGCATCTGGATGCCTAAAGGAAGAATCCAGTCATGTGACATAGAAATTGTTTACTTTCCAAATCACAGTTGCTGCAGCCCAGGAGAAAACTTGTCAAGCCTGCAGGGTGCAAGAAGACAATGGGGGTTTGCTCTGATACGGTAATGGTTGCCTTTGTGTTGCACTAATTGCTCAGCCCCAGTGCTTATTTGGCTCAGCAGTGAGAGGAGGGGTCTTACTTTGGCTTTCTCCAGTTTGATGTAATCTTAGATAAACCTACCAGACTCTTCTTTTCTTAAAATAACGCACCTCAGAATGCGATAGTCTATGTGGTCACTTAAACATAAGAAACCTGCTCAATCAGAGCAAACAGAATTAACGGTTTTAAATGATCAGTACCTGCCCATAATAATAAATAATTATTCATGTAGCAAAGTCAGACAAAGTAGTTTAGCATCATATACAAGATTTTAATCATCTTTAAGGTCCTCAGTCCAAAAGAAATTAATTACATAAGCACCATATATGTCTTTAGTAATATGGAGAATATCCTCCTGCCCTCGCTTGAACAAGAGTCAAGTATACATTACCGGAATCAGTAAAAGGGACAGCCACACTCCAAATCTGGCATCAAGACTTCCCTGTATTCACAAAGAGTAAACAGGGGAGCCTGACAAGCATCAGGACTCGACCTGGATAATGGGCCTTGATCCAATAAACTGTGTTCAATGATTGCTCCAGCAAAGTGGCCGGGCTCTCACCAGACACTCTAAGCTCTTTCTTACAGCACTACAGGGACAGCTCTGACTTCTTCATTAATACGACAACTTTAGCAGCAGTGATTCAGTTACCTATAAAAAATACACTCTATTGACAAAGATTATGTACAGAAAAACAGGAAAATTTAAACAGTGGACTGTGAAAAACATCTGGGAACTTGTCAAAAAAGCAAAAACTAAGCTGCTTCCCCAGAAAATAAGGGAAACACAAGCACAGGGCAACATTTCTCTTTCCTACACAGCTTTGTCATGTGGGGACTTAACCACGAGCACATAGAGGAGCTTTCAGATGTAGCTGTGAGAACTTATACAAATGTATAGAAAGTTCTCTGAAATACCTAAAAATATTGCCATGTACACTTTATAGAACTTTTGAGTTTACAGTGTGTGCTGCTCTTCTATGCATGTCATATAAGGCTAGAGAGAATAAGAGAAAATAAATATTTTTCCTTTACTATCTATTAGTTCTGGGCTAGTCACTTATTTAGTGGGGTTATTTCAGTAGGAGAGAGGGAGCTTGATCATTTCTTTCTAAGAGAACAAACAAGGATGCATACTTTTCAGCTTGTACTGAAAGGTGACTTTATGACAGTTCTTGCTATTCTGCCACCACAGTATTAGATTTTTATTACTGCATAACAAAGGACCACAAATTTAGCAGCTTCTAACACCCATTTATTGATTCACAATTTCCATCTGTTGAAGTGTGGACATGGTGTGACTGGGTTTTCTGCTCAGAGTCTCACAAGGCTAATATTCAGGTGGTATCCATTCTCATCTGGAGCTTACAGTCCTTTTCCATGGTCATGAAGTGGTGGTAGAGTTCAATTCCTTGCGGTTGTAGGACTAAGGTCCCTGTTCCTTTGCTGGCTTTCCTCCAGATGCTAGACTCAGCTCCTAGACAATACTCCCATTTCTTATAATGTGACCCCCTCATCTTCGAAGCTAGCAACAAAGAATCTCCCTTGCATCAAATCCTTCTCACACTTCAAATCTCTTTCTTCAGGAAAAGCCCTGTCCCTTTTAGGGACTCACCTGATTAGATTGGATTCAACCAGGATAATCTCCCTTTCTTAAGGGCAAGTAATTTCAGGCCTTAATTACATCTGCAAAATCTCTTCACAGAAGTTTCAGGAGTAGTGTTTGATTGGATAAGTGGGAGGAGGTGTGTACATACCCAGGGCCAGGACTCTCAGAGGTCTTCTTAGAACTCTATACCTACTAGAACTGCTTGAAAAACTGAAAAGCCTTCAGAAAAAATCCTAACATGACTCTCACCATCAGGCGAATCTTCAAGGAATCTGCTCTGCACCAGTCAAAGATATGGAAGTTCGCCTTTAGGGTTATGGTGATGTGATGGCAAATGCTGGGGCTGCACAATCTCAGTTGTCTTTGAGGATGAGCATAAATGCCCCACCGATGAGCCTGAATATGGAACACAGAGTCTGGGTCACTCTTTCCAGAGGACAGAGAAGCTTGAAAATCAAGTGAGGAAGGGGTTATTTTAACTCCTTTCTTTAATTCTCTGTAAAGGGGAACCAAGCTCCTCTATTCCTAGGCACAAACATGCAAACATGACCAGCTTGGCCTTCTCTTGAAGTTTGCCCCAGAATTGACAAGAGGCAGATAGATCCAGTCACCTGTTATTACTGCAGACAGGCTGTTTAACTCCCCAGTTACATGTGTAAATGACTAAGAGGACACTTCACCCTCATCTCCATAGAATGGCACTTTAGAAAGATAAATTTTATGACCTAATTCTTAGATGCAGACTGAGAAGGAATTAGTTTAAAAAGAAAAATTCTTCTTTTCATAACTTAAAAGTGAAAGTGACCTCAAGGGGCAAAAATGAAACTGAATGTCTTCTTCTTTTTTTTTTTTTTTTTATTACAGTAGGCTTTTTTCCCCGTTTTTTCCTCCATTAAAGTAAAAAAAGCTAACTAAGTCTTAGACAGCTTAGAAGTTTTTTGAATTCTTCTAAGTTCTAACCATAGCTTTGGTCTGGTATTATTCTAAACACTCTCTGGGTTAGATAATTTTTCTTCATTATGAATCTTAAAATGGAAATTTTAACAGGTTAGCACTTCTTTCCCAAGAAGGGAGATCATTAATATGTAAAAACCCATGTGAGGAATAACATCTCCTTGCTCCCCACATTCCCTGCCTCGTCGCCCACCCACTGCCGTGACTACAGGGGCACATGCCCAGTGCCTGATCAATTTCAGAAAACTCAGCTCATGGTCAGAGAATAGGGAAGTGGGGAAGCCTGAGGAGCAGAAACAAAAAAATGGAGATGATCAGAAGGCAAATGAGTGACCAGGGACAGAAAGAGTGTAGAGACGGGGACCTAGTAGCTTGAGGCTTATGGCCTTAGAGCTACATGTGTTCCATCCTTGACAACAGACCATAGCGATCACATGACATTAAGGAGGTTACAACCAATGCAAGCAAGAAAACTAAAATGACAGTCATCTTGGTCAGATAAATGAATTAATAGGAAAACACAGCTATTTTTGCTATGATGCTATCTTTATTATGACAGTTGTCCACTCTTACTCTCTCCTGAACTTATAATAATCATAATCATAATATGTTGATGAATATTATGTGTCCACTTGACTGGATGTCCAGAGAGCTGGTAAAGCACTATCTCTGGATGTGTCTGTGAGGGTATTTCTGGGAGAAATTAGTGTAAGGAAAATGGATATGCTGCAGTCAAGAATAGGCCAAGGCAGACATCTGGTCCGGCGAGACTCAATGACTTTGGAGTGCAGGCGCACAACTCTGCTCATTATGTAGCCACGCCCACATGAGCTCGTGTTTGGCTCAGAGCCGCTATTGTCTGTAAAAGCCACTATTGTCTGGAGAAGGTGCTGAAGCAACTGGAAGCAGAGAGCACCCATAGGGAGTGAGGTTTTGCCAGCGGGTAGACGGGCATTTTTGACTGTGCTGCAAGAAGTGCACACCCAGTCCCTGAGGGATGCAGCGCAGGTGGGGGCCCTCCAGGCACAGGTGGGGCATCTGGAGGCCCAGCCACACAGCTCAGAAAAAGAGTTAGAAGCTGCCATGAATGGGAACCTCCAGGCACAGGTGGGGCACCTGGAGGCCTAGCTACAGAGCTTGGAAAAGGAATTAGAGGCTGCTGGAAATGCAGGCCTGGAGGTCATCGGCAGTACCTAGGGGTCTGCTCCATAAAGAAAGGGAAGATGCCCCACCCGCAGAGGACCCCCCCACACACACAACGAGAGCAAAGGGAGCTCCAACGAGTTACACACTCACAGATGTGGATAGATTTTATTTTGGCCAGGGGTGACAGAGAGAAAATCGATAATCAGCCCAATGAAGCACTCTTAACTTTGTGGAGACAGTTGTCTCCAGAGCAGCAATTCCAGAAAATGCCCAAGGAGGGAGAAGGACATTGCTCTGTGACCCAGTCCCACCCAAGCACTCCAGTTCAAAGACTACATGCTGCAGCCAGGTGGAGGGGTAAAGCCTTTTCTGTTTGATTAAGGAACTAGAAGAGGTGCCCAGCTTGGGGGAACAACGGACAACTGGAGTTCACATGTGGAATTAGTGATCCACTGGTCCCCCACCAATGTATAGTGGGTGCTGGCACTGGCGGATACTGGCGCAGATTGCAGCCTTGTTTATGGGAACCCGGATAAATTTCTGGGCAAACCTGCTCACATTGACGGTTATGGAGGCCAGTCAGTGAAAGTGAAATCTGTATCTCTGCATCTTGGCATCGGCTGTTTGGCTCTCCGTTTATATACTGTTTATGTCTCTCCCATACCGGAATACATTCTCGGGGTGGATGTTTTACATGGCTTGGCAGCTGTTCTATCACAGATTTGATGAATCGCTTGATGACGGAGTTGGGACAGTACTACTGTGGTGGGCTTAGCTATTGCATTTGTTTTTCTAGAGAGCCAGGAACAGTTTGCCTTCAGGGTAGGGCAACAATGGACTTTCACAGTGTTGCCACAGGGCTGTATGCATAGCCCCACCATATGTCATGGTCTTGTTGATAATATTATGTTAGCCTCTGATTCTCTTGCAGATTTAGAAGCAGCAACACTCCTCTTGCCTGAGATTGGAATGATGTGGCTGAGACCGCCTTCCTGGCAGCCAAGCAGGCTATTCAGCCGGCACAAGCCCTACAGCTGGTTGACAAGGGGTGCCCGTTTGAGCTGGATGTGCATGTGACCACAGATGGTTTCGGTTGGGGCCTGTGGCAACACGTGGAGTGCCTGAGAATGCCAGTAGGCTTTTGGTCCCAACTGTAGAAGGAGCTGAGCTCCAGTATTCCTTGATGGAAAAGCAGCTAGAAGCTGCATGTGCCACCCTTCAGGCTCATGAGAGTGTGACAGGATGGGCAACAGTCATCATGAGGGCAACTTACCCAATAGTGGGGTGGGTGCATTCATGAGTGACAAACCCCCGGACTGGGACAGCACAGACACCCACTTTAGCAAAGTGGGTGCTTACTTACAACAGCAAAGTATGATGAATACAAGCCCCTTAGCAGCAGAGTTGCAAGAGGTCTTGGGACCTGTAGTCCTAATGCAAGATAAGGCCATGGGGCCTGAGGCACCCTTAGACCTGAAGCCTTCACCTTTTAAGGAAAGGCACCCCCCATTTCTGATGAGGAATGGTATAAGGATGGGTCTAGCCAGGGTGCTGCTACTGCCTGGACTGCTGTCATGGTCCAGCTAGTACTGACACCATATGGTTTGATACCAGCTATGAACAAAGTAGCCAATGGGCTGAACTCAGGGCAGTGTGAATGGTGATCACCAAGGAGGTGACACCTGTGGTAATCTACACCCATAGCTGGGCAGTTTATCAAGACTTAACCTTGTGGTTAACTACCTAGAAGTTACAGAAGTGGCTAGTCGGTCACTGGCCCATGTAGAGTCAAGCCACGTGGCAAAACCTATGGGAGGAAGGATGACCTCCTCCGGCCAGATATGGGGACAAACGGTAACCTGTTGTTGGCTGCCCCAACGCCCCTAAAGGTAGGGAAATAAAAACCTGGCTTAACGTATAAAGCAACATTGGGGTAATGTCACCATAGGGTGGTTGCCTGCCATAACCTAGAGTTGTTGCCCCCTGTATTACTGCTGTGTCCTCTGGGTCCAGGGTTCCACCCTGTGGGTGGGTCTCCCCACTAGAAAAACTCCCTCAGCCTAGGAGGTGGAATACATTCCTATGTATCAGACCTGTCTGTCCAGGGCCTGTGCGCCCTGAGCCTGCATACAAGGCCTATGTGTCGGACCTGCATGTTTGGGGCCTGTGTGCCCAGAGCCTATGTATGAGGCCTATTTGTCAAACCTGTGTGTCCAAAGCCTATGTCTCCCTCAGCCTAGTGGGTGGAGTATAAAGAAAATGGATGTGCTGTGGTCAATAATAGGCCAAGGCAGACATCTGGTCCAGCATGACTCAGAAAGTTTGGAGCGCAGGTACACAACTCCATTCATTATGTAACCACACCTCATGAAGTGCATTAGGTGATTACCCACATGAGCTCGTGCTTGGCTCGGAACCACTATTGTCTGTAAAAGGTATAATTACCCTGCTAATGCTGTACGTATGGCTCACACCCAGACTCACTCCTGGCCAGAGAGAGAGTAAATCAATGTCGAAACTTTCTACGATTCCTCAAGTGTTTTTCCAGCTACCTGCCACTCGCCCACCAACTCCCCTTGGGCCTCAGTTAGAACCTGACATTAGCATTTGGATCAGTAAGAAGTGAGAGGAAGATCACTCTCACGAATGTGGGTAGGCATCATCCAGTCTATTGAGGGCACCAATAGGACAAAAGCAGGAAAAGGGGCGAATTTGCTCTTTGCTTGAACTGGGATATCCATCTTCTACCCTCTAAATCAGCCCTCCTGATTCTTAGTTCTTGCAGTCTGGACTGGAACTATACCACAGGCTTTCCTATACCACAAGCTTTCCTCCAGCTTACAGAGAACAGATTGTGGGACTTCTCAGCCTTCATAATTTCATGAGTCCATTTCTCCTGAGAAATCTTTCTTTGTATCTGTCTCTCTATATCTATGTATTTAGGTTCTGTTTCTCTGCAGAACCCTTATACAAACGGAAAACTCATATGCAACACATGTCTATACCAAATATTGTTCTAAAGTGCTTTATGTTAACTCATTTAATCTTCACAACAACACATAATATAGGTTATATTATTATCCCTATTTTAAAGAGGAGGAAAATGAATTCAAAGTAACTTGATCAAGGATATTTGGTAGTAAATGGTCCAACCAGAAATCTGTGGAAATCAAAGTTAATTATGTATAAAAAGGGAATATGCTGCTATGGGCACCACAATAGTCTCCACAGCTCAGTATCTTGCTTTTATATATTTCATAAAAGAATGTGAGCTATAGAGGAGAATACTATGCATATAGAAGTGGAATAGAAGAAAAATTGAAACATGTTTCCTAATGACAAATAGATGATACATATGGATATTAAACTGAATAACTTCCTCTTTGGCACGGTAGGGATTATTATTTTTTCATTATTAAATTAAACGTGGTAGCTAGATGTGAATCCAAGAAGCTACAAAATGAGAAGTTCCACAATGTCATGGGGTAAGCAATACTAGGTGCCAGGACATCCGGGTTCAATTCTTACCATTTAGCCATGAAACCGTTATTGTCTTGACCAGTTTGTTTTGTACAATAGATATAAAAAATGCCCCCACTTAGTTTATGTTCGTAGGTTCTTAGTAAGTGAAATAAAAGATAGATGTACATGTATTTGGAAAAGAATACAATTCTCTAGAAGAATAGTGTCTAAAAATAAGTTTCCAAGTATGCATACGTGTTTGCAAAGTTGCCTACATTTATACAAAAGAAAGAGAGGAAAGAGCTCATGGCAGAAATGGTTCAGGATCCCATTTTCTTACATAAAGAACAGGGACCATGGAGATTCAACTGGTTCGTATTAGTGATCTCCATTCATAGATGAACTGTCACCAGTAGAGCATATTACTGAGAGGAGAAAGAATCATCATGCTTACATCCATGAACAAAATGAAATCCCAGACAGGCTTTATCTGAAACACCAAGACATTGAAAGGAAAAGGAAATACCCAAATGCTGGCTGGCTTTTGCAGCTAGTTACTAGCCATCTATATACAAAGACATAGAAATTGTAGTACATGTATTCTGAATTGCTATATCCTTCTAGAATCAACAGCAAAAAACAGATATACTCAATCACATTTGAAGGATAAAATTTTCCATTAGCCTTATTATCTTTTACATATGTAGATGTCTCTTTTCAGTGGGAGTCAAAGTTATTTACAAACCACAAAATGTATTTTCTAATTCTTCTTCCTATCTATCAAAAACACAAAGGAATACAAAAACCTTGGCAATGCAATGTTCTTATTAATTGCAGAAAATTTTCAAAGTATATTCAATTCAACAACTTTTTTTTTTTTTTTTTTTTTTTTTTTTTGACCAAGTCTCACTCTGTCGCCAGGCTGGAGTGTAGTGGCACAATCTCGGCTCACTGCAACCTCCACCTCCTGGGTTGAAGTGATTCTTGTGCCTCAGCCTCCCAAGTAGCTCACCCAGCTAATTTTTGTAGTTTTAGTAGAGACAGAGTTTCACCATGTTGGCCAGGATGGTCTCAATCTCCAGACCTCGTGATCCACCCGCCTCGGCCTCCCAAAGTGCTGGGATTACAGGTGTGAGCGACTGCTCCAGACTACGTCCAGCCCAATTCAATAACTTTTAAGTTAAGTGAGTATGATTTGTGTTTATTATGCTGAATATGTGTAAGAAATATACAAAAAAATCTACAAAGACACAATCCAAGTAGGGCACCAAAGCAGGTGAAAGTAAAGACGGTATAAGACAATGCTTATACAACAAGAAAATTGCCATGTCAGATGGCCTTAGGTATGAAGAAGACATTTGATCTGAGCCTTTCAGAAGACTTTTACCAGGTGTAGGCTGGAAGCAGACATCCAGGGTTAGGGTGCACTGTAAGGAAAAGTATAAGAATAGACTGGAACAGAGCTTTACAGGGAAGACTGGAGAGCATAAAATGGATAGAGGCAGAAATGAGAGCCTACACAGAGGGACACAGTTTATAAAAGATATTGAAAGCCAAGCTACCAATTTTAACAAGATGTTTCAGCTGAACCATTGAAGGATTTTGAAAGTAGCCATTCTATAAATGAAGCTGTGCTTTAGGAAAATTCATCTTACATCACTGTGGGATCAGTTTGAACAGGGAAAGACTCGAGATCATGACCAATCAGAGATGACTGCACTAGGATAGGCAAGAGGTACAGCAAATTAGGACAGAAATGTAGGAATGAGACAGAAAGAAAGACATGGCAAATGGTGCAAAAGAACAGGCAGAATTTTATTCTGCAAGTATATAATATCTGTGAAATCACAATACTGTAAATGATGTTAATTTGTTTTGTTTTATAATTAACTGACAAATTATGGAAAATCTCTGTTACAAGAAAAGAGAAGGGCAACACTGTTCACTTTCACGATATCAAAATAATGGCATTGCTATCAGAGACCAGGAGGCAGAACAGGGAAGAGGTGATGGAAAAGCTGTGAGCGTTAATGTCCTTATCTCTCCTGATGAGGGGTCAAGAAATACTGCTCATGTTTGATCAGACAAAAAGTAGAGGTCTAAACAGAGTTATTGAGGTTCTAGAGTCAACCAGTGAAGGCATTAAAGCTAGTATCATAACTAGGTTGGGGGAAGCTGGAGAAGGGATGGTGTGAGCAATATAAATCCTCATACGAGGAGGTCGACAACACCTACAGTTGATAAATTGAGAAATAATAGCACAAATACATTCTTTAGAGCTATAAATCTTACCAAAAGGCCAAGAAACAAAGAAAGAGAGAGAAAGACACAGAGAAAAAAGGAAGGAAGGAAGGAAGGAAGGAAGGAAGAAATAGTGAGCATGCCTGGGATGGGGCAAGGGGTTGTTATTTTGTCACAAATTCTTCTATAATCATTTGATTTTGAACCATGCACATACATTGTTTTGATTAAAAATATAAATTAAAAATTTTAAAAACTGAATTTATGAGATTTGACAACAGTTTCAACAGAAAAGGAAGAGTCAGAGGATGACTAATTTTCACATCTACTTTACTGAGAGTTTGGTGAGTGAAACATTAATGTTTGTGAAGGAAATCAGAAGAATGAAAGATTTAGAGCAAGGTGAGATAGGGAGTTTGGTTTCACACATAAATTTAAATGTTAAAATGAGCCTTAATGCACTCATGGCAGATGCTACACAGGATTGTAGTCAAGCACTTGGGCTGCATGAAAGAATAGATTCATTGCTCGGAGTGAGTTATTTCAATGTTTAAATGAAAGTATAGTGAAGAAAATATCAACTTGCTTAGTTTGTTTTCCATACCATCATAACCCAACCTGACATAGAAAAAAAGATGCTGAAAGATCCCATAATAGTTCAAATAAAGAGAAATATAGAACACCCATCTTGTGTTCCTGCTTCTGCTGAAGTTCAATGAGTTTAGCCTAAGTTAAGCTAATAGAACAAAAGAGCAGAGACAGAGAGACAAAAGGAAGCATTGTACATTTTAACTAAAAATATATAAATTACAGTATTGTGTTTTAAGCAGCACCAATTATTCTGAGCCATTTTGAAATGATATCGAATACAAATGTACAAATGATCAAACAATTAAACAGCATCAGATCATAACCTCAGTCAGTATTTGGATTATTGTAAAATTCTATTAGAAACTATATCGCTGATGAGATATACATTACATACCTAACTTTTATTAACCAATTCAAATGGCCAAGAATTAAAGGTATATATATATATATATATATATATATATACACATACACACAGGCACAATCAAGCTGACAAAATGTTTTTCCAAATCAGTAGAATCCCTCTGTTGTCCTGGAACTAAATAAGTTTTTTGTTTCTTGAAGAAAGTATGAGAGATAAATAATGTTATTAAGAAGAGAAAAATCCTTGCAACCAGATTGATCTTCATAACCAAATCATCTGCTTTCTTAAAACACTCTGGTGGTGAAATAAAGAGTCTGACTCCATTTTTTAATTTTGATGTTGGATCAATGACAGCTTTCAAATTCTATCCCTCCTTTTTCCCTTCTTTTGCCCCACATCTGGGCAAGCGGGTAAGAAAACCTGAGCACTCTGGCTGGGTGCAGTGGCTAACGCCTGTAATCCCAGCACTTTGGGAAGCCAAGGCAGGTGGATCACTTGAGGTCAGGATTTCGAGACCAGCCTAACCAACATGGCAAAACCCCATCTCTACTAAAAATACAAAATTAGCCAGGCATGGTGGCACATGCCTGTAATCCCAGCTACTTGGGAGGCTGAGGGAGGAGAATTGCTTGAACCTGGGAGGCAGAAGTTGCAGGGAGCCCAGATCGCGTCATTGCACTCTAGCCTTGGCAACAAGAGCAAAACTCTGTCCAAAAAAAAAAGAGAAGAAAAGAAAAAAAAGAAAGGAAGGAAGGAAAGAAAGAAAATGAAGGAAAGAAGGAAGGAAGAAAGGAAGGAAGGAAGGAAAGAAGGAATGGAGAGAGAAAAAAGAAAGAAAGGAAGAAGAAAAAGAAAGGGAGGGAGGGAAGGAAGGAAATGAAAGGAAGGAAGGGAGGGAGGGAGTGAGGGTGGAAGGAAGGAAGGAAGGAAGGAAGGAAGGAAGGAAGGAAGCTTGAGTACTCCCTCCCTTGGTGCTGGTGGAGTTCAAACCACACAAGCCTACCCTCAATAAGCATGATTTTTAAAAAGTCACTCTCCTTTTACTCAAGCCATTTTGGAGTGGCTTGGGTGCCTGCCCTGCTCTCCCCAGAAAGTCTTATTATGTGTGTAATAATCTTTTTATACTCATCTGACACATGCATGTCATCATTAGTCTTGACATCCAAGTCCTTTGGGAATTGGGGATTGATCCTGCCTTCCACTCGGAAACACAAAACAAGTGGATTTTCATTGCTCGTAAGATAAATGCAAAATAATAGTAATGACTAACACATAGGGCTCGCCGTGTGCCAGCTATTGTCCTAAGGACTTTACATTTATCGAATTCATTTAATCTGCATGAAAATCCCAAGAGGTAGGTGATAGAAAATAGTATATTAATCCAAAGCCTCATGCCTTTAGCAATAAATGAAAGTTTAACTATTATTATCAACCCCATTATAAAGTTAAAGATACAGAGATTCAAAAAGGTTAAGCAATGTTTCCAATGTCACATAGCTTGAAAGAAGCAGGGCAGGATTTGAAACCAGACCCCCAGCTTTAGAATTAACACTTTCACCCATTTTTTGGTAATGTTGCAACTCTGATGCACAAATGGCTCATGAAGATCTGAATAACCTGGCATTTGCCTACCTTTGCAGATGGATTCTGGTACTCGCCCTGTTCCCTCCGCCATTGGGCCTTGCCTCTGCTATTTTCTCCCCTCTTTGTCAAGGCAGCTCTTATTCGACCTTAAACTCTCAAGGAAGCCTTGTCTGACCACATCCCTCCTCCCCCAACTCTCCATCTATTCCCCAACCAGTTCAAATCTCCTTATTGCAAGCTTCGTAGTATACCATGTGCCTCTCATTGATGTTCTAATTAGTAGTGTAAGTTTGCCTTTATTTGTGTAATTATTTGACTGTTTCTTTCTCTAGTAAACCATAAGCTCAGTGACAGAAGGGACCATGTTTATTTTTACTAATTGTTATATTTTATCAATGCCTGGCACCGAAATAGGTCCTCTATAAATGTTATATTTGCTGAATAAATAAATAATGCACAGACATTTCCATTTCACCCAGTAATGTACATTGCCCATAACTGGACTGACCCCTTTAGCAGAAATTTATAAGCAAATGGGCTTTGTGGATTGATAGAGGTTTTGGTTTTTTTTCTTTAACTCTGGAATTGTAATTCCTATAGTTACTTTGGGGTTTTCTAGGGGGGAAGAAGGCATGTGTTTCCTCTTCTGGGGTTCCTTTTACGTCTTTTATGAAGTGATTACACACTCCAGTACTGCGTAACTGGGGAAGGCCCGCTGGGTGCCACTCCAAGCAGACTGGGGAAGAGATCAGGACCAACCTCTGCAACATCCACAGTGTACTCACTGCTCCCCCGTGCCCAGGCAAAGATGGTCCATCAGAACGCATGTATGTGCATAAGTGTATGGTTCTGATGTGCTGAGATCTCTTTTACTGTTACCTAATTTTTCATCTGGAAAAATCCAGTAGTGGAGAAAGGTCAAAGTGGGCACTAAATTTAATTGGGTGTTCACTATCTTTCAAGTGCTTTTCATAATTTTGAAATTGTAAAATTGAATATTCACATGTCACTGATGCAGCTAATATTATCTCCATTTTACAGATGAGAAACTGAAGAACCGGAGTCGTGTGCTTACTAAATGGCAGTGAGTAGGCCAGCATTCAGATTCAGGTCTGAATGGCTCCAAATGTCATGTTCTCTCTGTCTCAGGGTGATGACATCATCCTGTCTCCTAACTCCAAAAGGAAAGACTCTTATTGTATCAGGATACAGGAAATTAGATACCAAAAGGGAGACCCTAAAAATTTTTAAGGCAACTTTGTGGCCTCACTAAAAAATTCATTTTTAAATACTGTGAAGAGATATTTTTACCTATTAAAAGAAAAGCTTTCCCTGTTATATTTAACAATTTTTTAATTAATAATTGCTCAAAAGGAAAACAGGTGTCCTAATTGCTAAAAATTCTTTTTGGAGATGAATAGAAAAATAAATAAGTGGATAAGTAGCTCTTTCTTAAAATAGGATGATGATAAAAAGCCCATATTTAACTCCTTGTTAATAGGAGAAAAGAAACAAATGAGGGAAATGGAAATAAAAGGCTATGGGATTCAGAAATAGATTCTAGGAAAGAGAACCTTCCAGAAAATAGAAAGAAAGAAGTAGTTGAAACGGAGAATTATGAGTTGGATTCCTAAGTTGTGAGGGCAATCCCCAGAGTGAGAGGTCTAAGTCACAGGAGGTAGGTAGAAATCAGAGTGTGTTCCCACAGGCAGGAGGCAGCCGGTGGCTGCACAAAGATTCTGAATGGAAGCTCTGAGAATTAGTCTTTAGTGGACTGCTGAGAGCTTGTCTTTGATGGACTGGTGGCATGTGATAACATCATCAGAACAGGCAGGGAGCAGGAGTTAGCATCACTTCCTGTGCTCTTCCACTACTAAAAATAAAAGTACAGTTTACCCTAAGAGCCACCTGGTGGATGCCTAAATGTTCCCTGCGCAGATCTCACTCAATCACCTTGCCTTTTCAATAAAGGGAAACTGAAAGAGAGAAGGAAGGCATACTAAGTCCAGCACATCTCATCATGTGGCCTTGGAATGATAGATGAATAGGTGTGTGCTGTTTGTTAAAAAACATTCAGTCTGAGTGTAACTCGGGAGACATTTAAGTAGATAATTAATCAGTTCTAGGCCATCCATCCCTCACAAGGTTCAGGGGGCTGTACCCTTTGCAAGGCTTTTATTTCTACTTTATTAATTTTTATTTCTGTTCACCAAAAACAAAGGCAGTATTTATCTTTGCACTTGAGAAATTCTGGCACATAATGCATCACTGTAAACATTCATTCAATGTAGGCAAAACCAGAAACAAAAGTTTGTGTCCACATAACAAAATTCATATGAGCGTCATAAAGAACGAAAAGCAATCTAGGTTTGATTTAGAACGGCTATCAGTATCAATTGCATTCTCTAAAAACAAATGTCTAACATATGAAAAGTACTCAGTTGTATGGGCAACTGACTAAGGAATCAAACTAGCTAATATGCAAATGAAAGATTCGTTTTTGAAAAATGGTGTTGTTTTGAAGTATATTTGACACCGAAATCCTAAAGGAATTTGTTTACATTTTGGTTCCATGACTTGGCCCTGGAGACACTTCCCCCTCAGAGAAGTCTATAGAAAGTTGAGTGAATGTAACTTTTCACATGCAAATATTATAGTGACAAGGAAATTCTGGCAGTGAAATTTTGTACAGTACCAGAATCTAGAGATTTATGCTAGACTTCACAGGAAACATCTTGTTCTTCACATCCAGTGCTTGCAGAAGCAGGGATGTCTTAGAATATATAACCATATATTAGTAATGTTCTGCGGTGAAGAATACCAGGTGTATGGCCCATGGACAAGCAGTCAGATATAAACGGAAGGCTGCTGAGCCCAGATACCTAAATGTCGGCTTCCTTCACTCAGTGGTCTGTGCAGAAATTCCCATGTGGAATCAGCAAAGGAACATATTGGTGTACCTTGGAACAGCTGACGTTTTCATGAATGCCTACTAGGAAACAACTGGTGATAATGAAACCTCCTTGTCAGAAACTCTTCAGCTGTTCTTTTCACCTAGCCCTGGCCTTCTCCACTCAATTTAATTGTCTTTCCCAGCTCCCTCTACCAATTTTTATTTGTTATTTTTGTATTTTCTTGTTGGGGGCAGTGAGGTGAGAAGGGGAGGTGGAAACAGTAGAAACACAAAGGAAAAGACCAACTGGAAAATTTACCTTTAAATTACCATAATACTAGATGATAAATGAGTTTATGTAAAAAGATGCCTACTCTAGAAACAGTGACATTTTTGCATTGTATGATTAGTTTGTGGAGTGTGTGTGCCTGTGGTCTTGAGAACCTTCGAAGTGCAAGGATAGTATTTTTATAAATGTCAGTTTTACTTCTCTTTCTATTGTGAATGCATGGGAGTTTTGGAATCTGGTACAAATTTGCAGGAAAATTAACCTAACATACAGAAGTGAGCCTACTTAGTGTCTAGAAAATCTGCAGAACTGGTCTCTCCATGCACTAGAAGATTCTGCTTGTAATGTAGGTTTAGAGGATTCCAAAGTAGGTCCTAATAGCTTCCCCCTGGGTCTGACTTAACTGCAGTGCAACCACTTCCATAGTCTTGTCAGCCCCCGCGTCATTCTTCTTTTCTCTATAACTAGTCTCACAGTCATTAACTACTCATTATGAGTAATTCAATCTGCATATTTTCATTGGGAATACTTTTTATATGGTAGGAAAGACATATTAATGCCCCATTATCAAGGCTTAAACAAAGGTCCTACATCTGACGTTTCACAGGACATTAAAAAAATTTACCTCTAGAGCACAAACAGAATGTGGCCCAGATCGTCTTAAAACATCTCAGTCACCCATGTGAGAAGCGTAACCAATTTCAGCAGCACACCTATAAGGGAGAAGCAAAGATGTCCCTACTCAAAATTACTTTCACAATTAACACAAAGTGGCATCCTTCGTCGCAGGCCCTAGAAGGGGGCTGTGCAGTCAATGAGGTTTTATCTTTTTGGTGTCTGAGGAGAGCTTTGGCAGCAGAACAGAGCCAAGGTGTCAGAAGGACCTGAATCAGGAGAAACAGTCACTGCGTTCTGGGTTTTGTGATAAAAGTCTATTAACAGACTCCAGGGCCAACAACACAAAACCTTTCCCAGATATTCTCTCGTTGTTAAGGTCTTGTAATGGATTCTTTTAAAGGTACAAACTTTTAATTGTTACGAATTTGAAGTTATTTGGTAGGTCACAGATTTCCATTGAACCTACTGCAGGAAAATTTCTAAAGTAAACTGTTATAATTCTTTGTTCTTAAATAAAGTGTTCTTTATCTCTAAGGAAGCTGATAATATGATAGGTGCAGCCTTAAGGACTAATTATACTAAATAGCAGGGCATAACTCAAAAGAGAGACTACATCTATTATGTAAAATTCCCTAAAGAAACATTAGAAATTTTACATGCATTGATTGCTAGTTAGCATTAGAAAGACATTTATGAGGTGACTTCACCAAAGCCACAACTGTTTGCATTAGCAAGCAGACAACATAAGCTAACTGATAAGAATGCGGTGATATAATGCAATTAAGACAGTTTTGTCTGTTAATTAGTGTTTTCCAACTGTCAAAAAAAGATGGCTTTTAGGAGCCAAACTTATTTTACTGATTAAAAATTAGAATCCATCTTGCAAAGCTGCAACGGACCTTCTTTTGATCTAATTAAAGGAAGAGTGTGCATACTCAAAACTCATGCTTCTCTGACATAAATTAACATATTCATAAATGAGATAGATATTTTGCAATTAACATGAGACAACAAGAATAAAGCCTAATTAGTAAACATGTTTTCTTTATTAACTTGCAGGTCAAGCTCTGTTTTATTATAAACCAGTAATGATAGAACAGAGTAATTTCTTTTTCAAAGAAAAAATTATTGGCTCTGAAATTGTGTGGCACTGTATCATAGAAATGTGATTCGATTCTTCATTTCCAGACACCTGTTAGCTCATAACCAGAAGTATACACAACTGCTGTTTTTTATGCTCGACTGGAGAATTTCAGCCCAGAGCAAGTTTATGGGCTTCCTGAAAGAGTCCAATTTTACACTTATAACCTTAAAGGCGTTTTTACACTGCCTGTAGACACCAAAGGCTCTCTTAATCCTCTAGTGGATATGCTTCCTTCGATGTTGTGCCTTCACGGTTCTCATTAGATGAATTTCTTGGTTAGACTTTCAGTCAAAAAGAAGCAGCCTCGGCTCGCCTGTGTACCAAGTATAAATGTCTACCTGCCAAACTAGGTTATTGATTAGGAGCATATTATGGTTGCTTTATCTATTTATTTATTTATTTATTTATTTATTTATTTAGTCCAAACAGTTCCTAGAATCCGATGTCAACGGTCTCTTTCCTCAACCCATTTATCCCCACACTTCACTCTTTTCTGTCTGTCTAGGCTTAAAATGAAGCCAGGACGTCCCCTAGAAATCAATACACAGAGGAGAATATGCCTCCAACCCTGAGAACGTGTCAGATCCTGACTGGATGCCAGGCCATGGCATCTAGAAGACCAGGGTATTCCAAGTTGAAATAAATGTTCCAGGTACCGTCTCAGGGAAGAGTTTAATGTAAGAACACAAAGATCCCCTCAGGCACTCACATAGTCTCTTAAGGGTGCTATGGATCAAAGACAACCCAGATCACACAAGTTATGTGCTCAGCAGCTGTTTAGCACTGTTAATTAAACAAAATCTCTATTTTTCTTGCCTCACACTGAAAACACCATTGCTCATTGCTGCATTCTCTGCCTCAGAATGCTTCTGTTCTTTCTTTTTCTTTCTTCCTTTTCTTCTTTCTTTCTCTTTCTTTCTTCCTTCCTTTCTTTCTCTCTCTCCTTTCTTTCTTTCTCTCTTTCTCTCTTTCCTTTCTTTCTCTCCTAAAGGCTACTGTTTTCTAAATTCTTCACAGACTGATTCAAACTACACATTTATTTTTCTGATTTTCTATCACATATATCATCTCTACCACACAAGTACTTTGTTTTTCCTGATTGCTTTTTGCTTGCTAAAATGATCTTCTCTGCTAGACTATAGGAATAAGCAATTTGGCACCTCCATGTTCAATCAATTAGAAACTGTGATCTCAGAAAAATGTGTGGGCTGTGGTGTGCCTCAGTTTCTTCATCTGTGCAATGAGGATGACAATGGTACCTACTTCCACAAGGTAACATACTTGAGGAATTTAATGGAATACCTGGTAGATATTAAGTGTTCCACTGGTGCTATTTATGTTATTATTTGAAATGTTCAAGGAGCCTAGCATATCATTTGACATCTATTCATTTCTCAATAAATCCCTTTCTCGTTAACTACGTAATTTCCAGCTTAACAGAACCTAAGTATCTTGGGGTAGAAAGGACAACACATCCAATTAATCAGATAAGTGTTCACTGAGTATTTATTAATGTTGTGTGCTGCCGTTTAGGAAAGCAGTGCCTCTTCTCAGTCTATTCGACTGGATCTGGGGCAGCAGAGTAGCTATGGGGGCACCTAGGCCTCCAAATCTGGAGGGACACATAAAGTTAATCCAAGGAGTAAGTTGGTTAGTCTCACCCTTACAGAACATAAACACACAGTGTAGTTCATTTAGGAGAATAGCTTGAAGTACAGATATTTTTATGCCACAATTTAATTTTCCTACTAAGTAAGAAAAACCTGTCTCTTCTGACGTGGTCTGCTGCTGATCAGAATATTCTTTTGAAAGTATTTTAGGACAAGGGTCAGGGTAATGTCATACTAAGGTTCCAACCTCTTCTCAGACATGAAATATTCATAGATTTCTATTCAGATTTGCTCCTTTCATGGCCTCAACCTTCCTCTTTACATTCCAAATTCAACACGAAAGTTTATCTTTAGGTAGCCAGCCTTTTTTTCAGCGATAAAGGTCAGTTTTGACCTTGCTTTACTGACAGTTATCATTGCTATCCAGGATTCAGTTAATAGACCCCAGTAATACCGCACTAGGAATAAAAGTGGCTGGAAAAAAAAATCACACAGGTAAAAATTTATATGCAAAATAAGAAAAAAAGCATCAACATTTCCCTCCTGTTACCTTTATTTATTTGAAAAAATGTCATGAGAAAAAGAGTCTTAGACTTAATCTCCTTCAATCAATGTCAGCCACATTACAACTTAATGGGAGTTTATACTGCATAATATTATTTTCTTTGTATGAACCATTTTCTGATACCTTACATTTAGTTAAATGATTTATCCATGTACATTTTACATGAAGATAAATATGAGAAATGGTTTCTGCTTATATTGAGTGGGATAAGGAAGCAACTCTAAAATACAAAGTCAATTGGCTTAGCCTCTCAGGCCCTGATGTCAATAGCAGATACATATGTGTACAAAGAAAATCTATCTGAATAGCAATAGGGACCTGAGGGATAATATATATTTTTCTTATGTCTTTCTTCATGGCAACTCAGAATGCCCTCTTCTGCACAATGTCTTCTTACTTGTCACTAAACTCTTGCTTTAGTTGTTAGGCATGTCATCACCAGGATGCTCACTCTTTGCTTCTTTACAAGTTCTAACTCCAGGTAAAAGTTACTATGGTGCTATGGAATTTACAATTGGGTGGTTGGGTTTAGTTGGTAAGTTACAGAATAATACTTGTTGTCCAAAAACAATTTTGCTTCCCATGTATAGCTTATACAACCTTATACTTTTGTAAATTTGGAACAGGTTATGTGATTTTTTTAGATGTCTAACTGGAAACCCGCCAACTTATGTTTAGATTTGTAAAAATGATGATTCTCCAGGAAAAATGTACAACCTGAGAATTTTTCAGATTCTGTAATCCAAAGTTTCTTACTTGTAGAGGATTTTTTTTTTTTACCTAAGGCTGGATAAAATCCCAATTCACCTATTTTGTTGTCATTTTTTTAATTTTTTGTTTTCTTGCTTTTTTTAATTAGAAAAAAAATATGTATTCATTTGAAAGAAAAGTAGCAGCTGTTTCCAAATTCAGCTTCTGCATGCTATAGAGAGAGGAGCACACAATCTACCCAGCATCAAAAAGATTTTCAGCCAACTTCAGTCTTACCTCCTAGCCTGCATTTTATTCCTTATGATCACTCATGGAGCTTCAGACGATTCCATTTTTGGCAAACAATCAACTGAAACAAGTCATGATGAAGTAGGGCCTAACGTTGACACAATTTTCACTAAGCAAAAATACATTTGGAAAAAAAAATATGGTCTCTTTTGAATAGAAACCCTTATTTATAAATTTTCTTTATTTAAATAATATACCCTCAGTGTATACTGCAAAGCACAACATAAATGCCAACCACACTGTGAAGTCTTTTGCTCTCCCTCCAGGCAGAATTAATTGCTCTTGCATTAGGATTCTCACAACAGGGTTCTTGTACATCTAGTTGGCACTTTTTTCAGTCGGCTTTGAAATTGATTGTTCCCACGTCTGGCTCCCTCCCTGAACCATAAGCTCCTTGATGGCAGATTCTCTGTATCAATCAGTGCTTAGCCTCCACTCAGCCTTTGGAGCAAGGCTATCCTCTTAGAGACTTCTCATATGGTTATTTTGCTTCTCTGTCTTCTCTCAACTAGACTTAGAACTTTGAAGGAAGTCAGGAAATATTTCTTCCCCTTTGGTTCCCTGGGCCTCATATAACCCGAAAGACACAGTAAATATTTGCTGAATGAATGAATAAACATAATTTCTACCAACTTTTTCCAAAACCTTAAGGGTTGCCCCATAGCATTAAGTATACCATTTATCTCCTGCCCAAGCTCAAAATGTAAGCAAGCAACCGAAAAGGGGAAGGCCAGAAGGCTTTCATCAGATCAAGTCTATTGTTCAATGAATTGCCCATTACTTTTGGTTTGATAGCACTTGGAAAACCCTTAATAGGTTTGGCCCTGGGTTCCCAAACTCCCTTAATTTAAGAGCCATACGAAGAGAACATCACGGAATCTTATGAGCCCCTCACTCCCCAGGAACAGCTCTCTCAGGTCAGTGTTTGCTGACTTTCAGTCTCTGAAATTCCAGTCAGGCAGTCCTCAGCACGACCAAAGTTTCTTCATTGTAAAAGGTAATGGACTTGGAATAGAACTACCACTCTTCCAGCAAGGGCCTCAGCCCTTTCGTGTGAAACCCTGGCTCCCAAGCAGGTCTCTGATCCTTAGGTAACATCTAGTCAAACTGGTTCACTGTGTAATGCACGGCCTCCCACCTTCTCTGCAGGTTGAAGTCTCTACCCTTCTCCTTCCACCCTGCTCTGCTCAGTGGTGGTAACACATGCTTAAGAATGAAATCATCTGTGTTGTTCGGCTGTAAAAAGTGCAAGAATCGTTTTTTAAAGGATGCAAAAAAGACGACAGACTGTAACTGTGAGTCTGCAAAAGCCATTCTCTCATTTCATAGTGTAGCAGCATTTCAGAGTAAACCAGGCTGGCTTATAGCCTCCCAGCTGAAGAAACCAGGTAGCAGAGAGTTAAAACACTTGCTCATTGGTTTTCCCAGATCCTATTTTAATTTGCTCCCTCTTTTTGGACAGCTCTGTGAAGGCAGTCTGGTTCGCTGCCTCGCCATACTAATGAGACTCATCCATCTGCCTCTGTCATTGCCAGCCTCTCCTTTCTGCTGGAAGTCAGAGATGAACGCTCAGGACAGGTCCTTTCTAGGCTGCAGTACTTAATCATTTCTAAACACGCTAGATGGCCTCAGGCAGTGAAGGCAACAAGCATTTAACCCAGGCTTGGCAGCTCCAGCTTCCCCACACTCTGCCTGTAAGCTCTGATAATGAAAAGTTGCTGTGCTTTTACTCTCCACTTAACCAGATGCTCTTTGCTTCTTGGGGCGAAAGGTTAAATAGATATAAGAACCCATGCTAGTTTTGAAGGCTTTTATTAGCACTTCTTATAGTAGTGGGAGAAGAGGATGCTGTTGTTCCTGATCCATTTGTCCCCTGGGATTCATATTTAGGCTTGCGGCCTTGTTTTCTTACAAAAGGAACTATGTCTTTACCCATCATACTTTTGTTGTTGTTTTGTGGCACAAGAGTTAACACAGGCAGGTTGGATTTCTGCCATTTAATTAATGTTCAGATTTTATGGAAAGAATGGACCAAGAGGACAATATCAATATTGTTTAACAGTAGCAACACCTTTATTAACAATGTAGATAAAACATATTTTTTCCAGAGTGGCTAGGGCCTCTGATTTATTTTTCCACTCCATCTACTGCTCCATATGTCTGTAGAATCTGCCTTTTTCCCAGAGCTCATGTTAGTATAAAGCAATTGTCTGGGATGTGTAAGAATTAAGTATCCCATCATTCAGGCTAGACATGCAATTAGAAGAGTTGCACTAATTTCCACTGCTGAGACCCTGTCACTTTAATTTATCCTTACTTTCCTGCATTTAGGCCATCTCTGGTTGGAGGCCAGGGATTTTATATCGTTTCAGTCAATGGTGCTTTGATGTAGGAGGCAGGTGTGTATAAGATTTGGGAAAACAAATTGAGGGTTTACCTAGAACTGGCTAGAAGAAGCAAAATCCTTGTAGAGGGAAACATACATTCTCTATTATTCTACCGTCCTAGCAAAATAGTGGAGAGGAGGGGTTTTAAATCCAGAAAAGATCACTGAATTATAATGTCAGTATCCAAACATCTTTCATGATTTTTTTCCTCTGACGTTATTTATAAAACATTGTTTTGTTTCTACTGATCAATATGTAAGAACATTTCTATTTATCTGATAGCTTAAGCTATCATCTTGAAAGAAGTGCTGAAATTTAATTATCGACTTTTCTCTTTTGGTCTATCGAGCTATGACCAGGCTGTCTAACTAATTTTATAGCCACCATCACAATCCCTTTACATAAGTTCCAGACAAGCATAACTCAAAAATACATGGAATGTTCCCATGAATAGGTAGGAAATATCACTTCCTAAACATTTCCCCACAGAGACATGATAAATCCTATGTGGGCCAATTATCGCCTGATACATCTTTCTAGTCCCTTTTCTGCTTTGAACCAGTCCCCAGATCATGTAAAACTCCCAGAGCCGAAGCTAATTTTACCCTCAGCTGAGGGTAGCAGAATTCAGTCTTCAAGCAGCTCTAAAATCAGCTGTCCAAAGTGGGTGAAGCTTGTCATGATTTAAAATAAAGACATGAAAAAGTTGTATTATAAAACAATTTTGCATTCAGAGAAATATTGGAAAATTTTTGCAGATGATTGTTCCCTCCAACTCAGTTTTAAACAATGAAAGTATATATGTGTCCTGGTTCTTTTGAATGGAGACTCAGACAAATCGAATACTTGGACTCCAGGTTCCTTGCCAATCTCATAATTGGCCTCCATGACCTTTAACGTTATTTCCAGCTTTGAGAAGCTAATATTCTGCCTCAACCTCTGGGCTGCACTTCCTCTCTCCAAAAAAGCAAATAATGATAAGTACTCCAGTAGATTTCATTTAAAATAAATACAGATTAATAATTTGCACTGTGTCTTTCATAGAAGAGCTGTGACCAATTAATAAGCCACAAATTCACATTAGCTAATTAGTCTTCCAAACGTTCACAGGCAGATAAGCCATAAGACAGTGTTTAAACTTCAAGAAGTAACTAAGTAAGACTTAGGGACCCTGGCCAGGGGCAGACTCATTGAATAGAAAATCTCTATACGAACATCACTTCTGACTATTAAAATTTTGGGCTTTCCTCTGTCCTAGTGTTCAGGACAGAGAATGTCACCTAGCAATGTACCTGAAGGATGTAAAGTAAAAGTCATATTAATGTTTTCAGGGCATCTACAAAGAAACATTTTATAATATTTTATAGGCTCTTGCTACTCAATCTCATACTAAATATGATTATTCAATACTTTAGATCAATATATATTTTAGAATAGATTATATGTATGTGTTATTGTGTGTGTCATAAACATAGCAAATATCCCAGTTATCTATAAGCATATATTCCTACTTAAAAACAACACATATGCAGGAACACATTTATTGAAGTTTTATTGATTCAAACTAGTTCATGAAACTTCTATAGTTTTGTGATCATACCCTACAAGTGGACAGTAATAGATTAAGATCTGTTAAATTGATAAAAAGCCTTCATTGATGACTCAATGATATTTATAGATAAGTGGTTCTTCACTTGAAAAATAAACCTTTGTTAAAAATAAAGAACTTACTTATGATGTCTGGAAGAGAAACTCAAAATTTTTATCTGTTTCAAACATAAAGCAGGTGAACAGATATTCAGATCCTTTTATTTTTAGTAGTACCTTATGTAAATTACTTTGGAAGTAAAACAATAGAAATGTAGAACATAAATAACATGCAGAAAAAATTGCTTCAAAGAAGGATGTTATGGAAAGTTTTCCTATAAGGTATTTGCAACTCTTTAAAATCAGTGGACTAATTAAAAATGAGAAAAATCTGATAACAAAAGGGAATTAAAAAGACTGGATGTGGAAAATATTAGATATCCTTGAATAGTCTTAGAACCAATAAAAAGTCTCAAAAATTAAAGAGAAGAAAAAATATGTTTCAACATATTCTCTTGAATCGCAACAAAAAATATCTCACTGAATTTCATTTGGAAAGAACACATCAAGTCAAATTCCTATCTTTGCTTTATTGTTTTGAGAACTGTGTGTCTTTGCCTCAGACTTGGCTCTTAGGAATACTTGATAAACAGAATTTGTGTACTTGAACATGGTAATGTCATTCTCAATTCATTGGCCACAAGGCTGTGTTCTAGAGACCACTGTTTTATAACAAAGGTCTTCAAGTACTTCCGGTAATTAAAGAGAAAGGGAGCTGTGTTTTATCTAATGTGGTATTAGCAATTGGAAGAGAGGGTATTTAGATAACGCATTTGCTCCTTTCCATCTCTAGTTACCCACATGTATATATGTAGTCCTGCTCTACTCACTATCTGGAGATTCTCTAACATCAGAACTCACCCTAGCTGTGTATCAGATGGGCCGGAAGGAGCAGTGAGAGGTCATTTAGTCAGTCAATCAGTTAACAAGGATTTATTGAGTGCCACGGGGTACACAGCTTGGTGCTAAGCAGGAGCCTATCTCCTTGCCTTGAGGCAGGGCTGCACATCCACCATAACAAGCACATAAGTTTCAATTGGCACTGTCTCCTGATTTTACTTATTCAATAGCTTGTTAGTGTCTAATGGACTAAACAAACATCTAAAACTATCTAATTCATCTCTGTATGTAGTATGTATGTGTGTATCTATATGTATGTATATATAGATAGATATGTAAAACTTGGCATCTCTTCCAGGAGATATGCCAAGATATATTCACAGCTTTATATACACATGTAATTCATGTATTTCTGTGCATATGGCAGTCAGGGGAATATATCTAATCAGTAGAACATGTTATATTCCAGATGTTTTTTTAATAATATTTTCTCACTATCACTAATAAAAAATTTCCATAGTTGTTCTACTTGGACAGTTTGATTGGTCTTTAATCCCAAATCTCATTGAAAGAAGGAACACAAAGCATTTTATGTCCTCTAGAATGTGGCAAAATGTTGGCATATCAGCTGCTTGTGAGGCGTGTAGACAGAATGTCCATCTTAAAGCAAAGGAAACTATAAACCTATCCAAGATGCTTTATTTTTTATTACTTCACTCTTATCTTCTAGATTTACCTTCCAATATTCACCTCTGCCTTGCTGTTCAATGCTACATCTTCTCTTTTCTCCCACATAAAGGCTGAAAATTCCCTTGTCCTGTCCAACTTCATTGCTCACAGACTAAATTCTGGTCTTTTCTTAATTCTTTTCCACTGTGTCCTTCCACTGGGTCTTAGAATCATTGACATCATCTATGATTGTACATGTGTGTCTCTCTTTTGCCAATAGCCATGTGATCCCCAAACTCTGCTTTCTTGTGCAAATGTGTTTGAAAGTCACAATTTCTACTGCAACCTCACTTCCAAATAAAGATTTCCCGTAATTGGATTTCTATCCCTCTATCCTTAAATCTCTGTTCTTAATTATGTCCCTACTTTGATACCTTCGCTTAAGCAAATTTTTAAATAACTATGAAAATTAACTGTCTCTTTGACAAGCTCCTGGTTTAAAATTTTTCTTTGACCCCTTGGTTCTACTTTGAAGCCATATGACTTGTGTAGTCATCTTCTCCTCTCTCCAGACTTTAACCTTCTAAAAACATATCCATTCTCTACATAAATGTGTATGTAGTATGTGTATCTATATGTGTGTATATAGTTACACAAAGGTGCAGAGAATGGATATGTTTTTTGAAGCTTTAAGTCTGGAAAGTAGGAGGAGTAGTTGAGCATACCCATTCTCTCAACCATGTACAGAGACCATTGTTCCTACCATTCTTTTTCATTCTTTTTTTTTTTTTTTTTTTGAGACAGAGTCTTTCTCTGTCTCCAGGCTGGAGTGCAGTGGATTGATTTCGGCTCACTGCAACCTCCACCTCCTGGGTTCAAGCCACTCTCCTGCCTCAGCCTCCTGAGTAGTTGGGACTACAGGTGCACGCCACCATGCCCAGCTAATTTTTGTATTTTTAGTAGAGGTGGCATTTTACCATGTTGGCCAGGATGGTCTTGATCTCCTGACCTTGTGATCTGCCTGCCTTGGCCTCCCAAAGTGCTGGGATTACAGGCATAAGCCACAGCGCCCAGGCTGTTCCTCCCATTCTTATTCCCAGTGCAGACAACTTTGCTAGTCCAGGGAAGAGGAATAAGTGCTCTCACTTGCCTTAAGTCTTCATCCAACAATTACCATTCTCCAGTGGAATTTACTTTGCCTTTAAAGATTTTTTTAAATCATAAAGCAGAAATAAAAATTGAATGCTAATCTCATGAAGTTAACATTGTGCAGAAGAAAGAGTATGTCATGTTTGTATGCTTCTATAAACATTTTGAAGACAGAAACTGTGTTGTATGATGTTGTCTTATTACCTAGTTTGAAACAGGACAGCTCAACAAATATTGTTATCATGCCAATAATTAATTGAGTGCTGTGGTAAGAGAAAGTTGCTATTTGAAGACCACTATGAAATAATCTCTACGAAGAAAACAGTATTTTTTCTGATTCATTTTAAATAAACTTTGCTGTACAGAGCTGAAAACTGTTGTCAATGGGAGCCTGCTGGGAAACATTTAATTAAATAACCTGTGAGACAATAGGAACTACTCCAAGCTTTGGAGGTAGGAGACACTGGTTTGAATTCTGCCTCTAATACTTACTACTTTTGTAATCCTTGTTGTACAAGTTACTTCATCTTTGCCTCTCTAATCTCCAGTTCCTTATATTAAAAAGGGACATAATAACTGAACACTAAATGTTAATGTGTTTAAAGCATCCAGACAATTGCCTGACCCAGAAAAGGCACCAAATAGGTGGGGGCTCATAAAGGAAAATAATAACATCTGCAAACTTAAAATAAATGACTTTTTTTCTTTCCTTGAGAGTTTGAGGGAGAGAAATTGGACCTAATGCTTTCAAAAAGCAAAAGAAGAAGTAGGAAAACACTTGTGTAAAATTGGGGCAACATTGCTGCCACTTCCATGCTCCTCTTTCCATTCTTCCTCTTTAGGAAGAATATTATTGGCCTCACAGAGAAATGCAAAGCAAAAGAACTGAAGGAGCAGCATAAACCTCTTTAGCTGATTGACAGTGTTAGGTTGAAAATTAAGACCTTCTTTTAATTAGTTTTAGCAACCTAAGTGGGATGATGGTATGTGGCAGAGACCAAGACAAGTCAGTGCTAAAGCTGAGAGAAGAGAGATTGGGTCTTTAAACCCTAGTGTGCCTCAAGTACAGGGCTGTCAAAGTCCAGGGAACATTTTAGCTCCAAGTTAGGATAAGATTGCTTAGCTTAAAATATATATATACATTTTTTATACATATAAAATATATATATATACATATAAAATAATATATATGTCAAGGACAGCACAGGAGAGGAGAATGAAGATTTACCAATAATGAAAAAGATAATTATTATGGGGAAAGACTTCAAACTTATCTAAGGGTTTATTTTAAAAGTTGACTTTAGAGTTTTAAGACATAGTCTCGTGTTGTTGGCCAGGCTAGAGTGCGATGGCGCAATCTCGGCTCAGTGCAACCTCCGCCTCCTGGGTTCAAATGATTCTCCTGCTTCAGCCTCCTGAGTAGGTGGGATTACAGGCACCCGCCACCATGCCAGCTAATTTTTGTATTTTTAGTAGAGACGGGGTTTCACCATGTTGGCCAGGCTGGTCTCGAACTCCTGACCTCGTGATCCACCCACCTCAGTCTCCCAAAGTGCTGGGATTAGAGGCATGAGCCACCACACCTGACCCTAAAGTTTTATTATTCAATAATTTTTCCTGCTTAATACTACTAAAATCTTACTATGTTAAAAGCTGTATATTCAGATGACAAGTAGCAGCCATTCATGTTTTAATGTCATGGTCTTCATCAGAAAGTTACTGAAGATGCTGTATAAACACTCAAAGTTTAGAAAAAAAATTAAATTATTGTGTCTAATTCACTGTCTTCCTTTCTGGGGAGGAAGCTCAGAAAGTCTGCAGAACTAAATTGATAAAGGTAAAGCCAGTGTAACAATCCTGACTGGTATCTGGAAGCAAAAAAGGAATGTTTGTTAAAATGTTTGACACATGGGCCAGGTGTAGTGGCTCATGCCTGTAATCCCACCACTTTGGGAGGCCTAGGCGGGTGGATCCCCTGAGGTCAGGAGTTTGAGACCAGCCTGGCCAACATGGTGAAACCCCATCTCTACTAAAAATACAAAAAATTAGCCGGGCGTGGTGGCGCGTGCCTGTAACCCCAGCGCTCAGGAGACTGAGGCAGGAGAATTGCTTGAACCCGGGAGGCGGAGGTTGCAGTGAGCCGAGATCGCACCACTGCACTCCAGTCTGGGTGACAGAGTGAGACTCCATCTCAAAAATAAAATAAACTAAAATAAATAAATAATAAAAATAAAAATTGATACATGAAGTTCATCCATTGGACATAAATAACTAACTTCTGGAAGCTTCCCTTCTTACTTTTATATTACTGTTATATTCAGTCTTGTTTGCTATAGAATAGGGTTTTTGTTAAAATTAACTATTAAATGTTTAGTTTTCATTGATATTCTGCTACTGTATTTTAATATCTGTAAGCCTGGATATGCATAGATTTGGAATAAATTTTGTACTGATCTTACAACACCAAATTGCACCTTTGTGATCTAGTGGTTGGTTTGTTTTACTTTTTATTATAGAACATTTCAAACAAATACAAAAACAGAGAGAATAGTAAAATGAACTTCCATGTACCCATTACTCAGTTTCTGAAATTATGGTTAATCTTCTTTCATCTATATTCCCACCTATCCCCAGATTTTCTTCCTTCAGATTATTTTGAAACAAATTATAGAGATCATATCCTTTCATCTGTAAATATTTCAGTACCAG